>NC_000012.12:27695430-27848125 GCF_000001405.40 Homo sapiens
TATTCAGGATGGTATAACCTAACTGATAATAGGTAATAAGGTTAAATTTTTTTATGACGTATTTTATTTACAAATATCATACACTGCTGGTGTTACCATATGAAAGGAAATAAAGTCAATTGATAATTGCCTCATTTTTATTGCCCTTATTTCATTTTCCGTTGTTCATAGTAACAGGCTTTGTTTCTGACATAGAAAATAACACAATCTCTTTATAAACTGCCATAAATTTGTTCGAATGGAGTTTATAATGTGTATCAACAGATAGGAATTTGAGGCCTTTGTTTGAGAAGCTTTTGTAGGAAAAGAAGCAACTGAGCTGGGGAATGAAGAATCATGGCAGAAGGTAAAAGAAACAAAAACAAACAAAAAAAGAAAATAGGAAAAGCAAATGGAAATGACTCACCTAGAGATTGGAAGAAGTTAGTTGTAGAAAGAGGTGTATGGATATTTAAAAAACTAACATAGGGCTGGGTGCAGTGGCTCATGCCTATAATCCCAGCACTTTGGGAGGCCGAGGCGGGAGGATTGCTTGAGCCTAGGAGATTGAGACCAGCCAGGACAACATGGTGAAACCCCACCTCTACAAAAAATACACAAAAATTAGCCAGGTGTGGTGGTATACACTTGTAGCCCCAGCTACTCAAGAGGCTGAGGTGAGATCACCTGAGCCCAGGGAGGTTGAAGCTGCAGTGAGCCATGATTGCGCCACTGCACTCCAGCCTGGGTAGCAGAGTGAGACCCTGTCTCAAAAAACAAAAACAAAAAGAACTAACGTGCTATTTTTACTTCAACTAAAACTTGGAAAGAGGAAACATGTTGGAAGAGATTACCAAAGATTAAAAGTAGAGTGAATATAACCTAGATAGAACAGATGTTTTGTGTGAAATTTAGTATCTTTAACTTAATAAACCAGCAGGAACTGTATGAACACAACACACCCAACTGACAAACAGAGAGAACTAACATGTTTATTTAGCTGTATGTATATATGCTTAACTACACCCGAGGAAGCTGTAGAGTTAGAAAAACATGAACCATTAACAGATGTGGCCTCCCTGCAGAACTTTTACTTTGAAAAAGAAGTACGTCTGAACCAGATTCACATGTTTGATATTTGGATGCAGAGAAAATGGGGCAGAAAGCATCGCAACAGTTGGCTCTGAAGGACAGCAAAGAGGTGCCCGTCGTCTGTGAGGTGGTCAGTGAAGCTATAGTCCATGCAGCTCAGAAACTGAAGGAGTACCTTGGATTTGAATATCCTCCAAGTAAACTCTGCCCAGCTGCAAATACTCTGAATGAGATCTTCTTAATCCATTTCATCACTTTCTGCCAAGAAAAGGGAGTTGATGAGTGGCTGACCACCACCAAGATGACCAAGCACCAAGCCTTCCTGTTTGGTGCAGACTGGATTTGGACCTTTTGGGGATCCAACAAGCAAATAAAGCTTCAGCTCGCAGTACAGACTCTGCAGATGTCTTCACCTCCTCCTGTGGAATCTAAGCCTTGTGACCTTTCCAATCCAGAATCAAGGGTAGAGGAGTCTTCCTGGAAGAAAAGTAGATTTGATAAGCTGGAAGAATTCTGTAACTTAATAGGAGAGGATTGCCTGGGTCTGTTTATCATCTTTGGTATGCCAGGAAAGCCTAAAGACATCAGGGGAGTTGTCCTGGACAGTGTCAAAAGTCAGATGGTGAGGAGCCATCTGCCAGGAGGGAAGGCTGTGGCTCAGTTTGTCCTGGAAACTGAAGATTGTGTGTTCATCAAAGAGCTGCTCAGAAATTGTCTGAGTAAGAAAGACGGGCTGAGAGAGGTGGGCAAGGTTTATATCAGCATTCTCTGACTTGGATATGTATTATGTGAGTGGCCTGTAAGAGGAAAAGAAAAAAAGATTCTAATAAGCAAGCTCACCTATTTGCATCATTCCAGCATGGGATTTTTTTTCATTTGTTTTCCCATTGATTGAAAATGATTACTGGGATCAAAGTACATTCATGTCGCAATTACAGAGAGAGAGAGAAAAAAAGAAAACCCTGGCTCTGCCTATGATTTAAAAACAGTTCAGGAAAAGTTATAATTTAGTTTAATATTTCATTCACTTATTCAATAATAAAAATGGAAGAGAGATAATAAAGTCACATTTAAAGTTTGATTTGCAAAAAAAAAGTGTCTGTTTGAAATAATAAGTCTAGCACTCAAAAGTATAAAATGTGTTTTTGCATCTGTTGGTGGGAGATGGGTAGGATAAAGTAGTGGGTAAGGCTACAGAGCAGGTTTAATTACATTTGTAATGCCAGTTTCAAGCCAGGCACAGTGGCTTATGCCTATGGTCTCAGCTACTCAGTAGGCTGAGGTGGGAGGATCGCTTGAGCCCAGGAGTTTAAGGCTACAGTGAGCTGTGATTGCACCACTGTGCTCTAGCCTGGGCAACAGAGTGAATCCTCATCTTTAAAAAAAAAAAAATAGTTTGGGTTCAGGACTCCTGCACAAAACTCACAGCGTTCTTTTCCTCTAACACTTACCTTATTCTGTCTTCTCCCTAGCTGCTGTCTCTGCACTGAGAGGACTTTGATGGGATTTACTTTGAGATTCACTTTAGTGTTAGCTCTGCCTATGATTTAAAAACAGTGACCTATAAAACTATTCCTTTTAATAATACTTGTTTAGCCTTTGCAGTAAGGAAGGTGTATTCACATATAATAACCATTTTTACTTAAAAGCCAGTGTGGAATTATAACAGTACAAAAAGGAATCACCATTATTTATTGCACTTGTAAGTCAAGTCAGATGCTTTACATATATTAGCGTGATTTGCATGTGTCTTCCATGACTCTAAGAGGTTTCTATTTGCCAAATCAAAGAGGCTAGATAACTCATAAATCTATTAAGTGGCTTGTAACAAAAAAGTAAAGTCTGCCCAGTTACAAAGCCCATATTCTACAGTCGTGTAAAGAAAATTCCCTGTAAGCCTATAAATTAGGTTAAGTAAAAATCAATTAAAAAAAAAAGAAGAAGAAAAGAAAATTCTTTGGCCAGGAAGAGTAGCTGTGATCCCAACACTTTGGGAGTCTGAGGCAGGAGGATTGCTTGAGCCCAGGAATTCAAGACCAGCCTGGACAACATGGTGAAACCCCATCTCTACAAAAAATACAAAAAGTCATGGTGATGTGTGCCTGTAGTCCCAGCTACTTGGGAGGCTGAGGTAGGGGGACTGCTTGGGTCCGGGAGGTCAAGGTTGCAGTGAGTCGTGATCGTGCCACTGCCCTCCAGCCTAGGCAACAGAGCAAGACCCCATCTCAATAAATACATAAAAAGAAAATTCTCTGATTTTAAACTACTGGAATTGCTGAGACAACAAAGGTGTTCACCTGCAAAAATGCTAGCTGGTTACTGTTGCTCATTTTTCCTCCATTTCCTGGCCTTAATCTGTGGCTACTTTTCCTGTTGTTGAACCACCTGTTCACTGATACGCAGCCATTAGAAACATGGGCTGAATCCTTTCAACTGCATCCAACCTCTTAAAATCGTTTCTGTTTCTGACAGTCTTCTTATGGCCTTGGCCTTTTCTGTATTTTGGAATTTAGGGCATGTTCCTGTGAGGCTGAATTAAGACATATGAGCGCAATGTGGCGTCATGCAGGTATTCCATAGTAAGAAATACATTTGTTGCTGTGATCTGTATAACTGAAGCATGTTGCAGTGCACTCTGATAGTTTGTCCTACATCGGTTTGTAAAATGCTGACTGCAAGCCACCAAATTGATATCATGACCAGCAATAGGCCACAATGCAGAGTCGTAAAAACTTTGTCATGGTAGAAGGAGTGAGAGCTTTCGAGTTTAGTTGAGGACAAACCTGCTTAAAATCCCAGCTCTTTTATTTACACGTATCCAACCAAACCTCTGTGCTGGTTATTCTCATTTCAACCTCCACATCTACTCCCCACCTTGTCTGCCTTCTTCTGGGCTCTAACTGCATCACTCTGGCTTCCATCCAGTGGAGAGCACGAGATCAGAAAGGGGACAGGTCTGGAATGTATTAGCCCAACTTTCCCTGCCTCACTACGATGCTTGGTTCCAGACAGCTCCTGTCCAGCTGGCCCTTCTCTGAGACTCCAGCTCCCTCCCCTTCCCCTCTCAGGCCATTGTCCCTTCCGGGGTGCTTCATCATTCTTTGTTAGTTCCTTGCACCCTGCCCCCACCCTGTAGATGTACTTTTTCCTTAGGTAGACTTGAGGGTGCCATTTGATTTCTTCTGTAGCCCTAATGCCTCCTGATTTTCCTATCTAAAAACCGGAGATGACAATACCCACCTCGTAGAACTGCTATTCGTTATAGAATTAAGAATAGCCAAGCGCGGTGGCTCACACCTGTAATCCCGGCACTTTGGGAGGCTGAGGCAGGCAGATCACGAGGTCAGGAGTTCAAGACTAACCTGACCAACATGGTGAAACCCCATCTCTACTAAAAACACAAAAATTAGCCGTGGCACATGCCTGTAATCCCAGCTACTCAGGAGGCTGAGGCAGGAGAATCACTTGAACCCGGGAAGTGGAGGTTGGAGTGAGCTAAGATGGCGCCACTGCACTCCAGCCTGGGTGACAAAGAGAGACTCCGTCTCAAAAAAAAAAAAAAAGAAAAAAGAAAAAAAAATCAAAAGTGCTTAGTACGATAATCCAGATCCACTCTTTGATTCTTTATCCAGCCCAGTAAACAGGATCCACAGTGAATCTAAAGGCGCGTCATTAACTTCAATCTAGATTTAGGCTTAAGTGCATGCCCTGTTTTCTTTCCATTGAGCCTGGTGTTCTTCAAATTAAAATACGCCTTGCAACATTGGGGAACACCAACCCCCAAATCCCTTCTCTTCAACTTTATCTCCCAAAGAAGTCCTGGGGGAAAGCGAGGAAAGGAGCATTCATAATCCCCATGATGCCTGCAGCTTCAGGAAAGAAGAAAGGGATGTATATTCTCTTCAGCCTCAAGAAATGGCTTTGTTTTCCCTCCCGTCAATGTTTATTCACCCCCATAGCCCTCTCCTTGAGGAACCTGGAATAGGAAGAACATATCTGTGGCCTTGTAGTTGTCCTTCATTAGAAGCTGGCATGAAAGAGTGTTTAATAAAATGGAGTATTGATATACACAATTACTTGTCAATTAAAAAGGACTTTTTTAAAAGAAGGTGAGTATTGGCAGAGACATCTGTTTCTTCTTTTTGGTAGTGAAGTCTCCAATAGCATAGAGTCAAGCTTAGCTTTTGCAATTTGGGTTAATATATTGCCAAAAAAAAAAAAAAGGCTTAAAAGTGTAAATGGAAGATAGATTCATTCAAACATAATTGCTGAGTGCCTATTACATGTCGGGCTTGTTCTGTGCCCTGCCAATCTAGCAGTACAAAGAACAAAGTTCCTAGTCTCAGGGAGTTTATATCTTAATGGTGGAAGACAGACAAACACGTGCAGATGTTTAAATGCATATTTTCAAAACATCTCACGCCTGTAGTAATCCCAGCACTTTGGGAGGCTGAGGCCGGCGGATCACTTGAGTTCAGGAATTTGGAACCAGCCTGGACAACATGATGAAACCCTGTCTCTACTAAAAATACAAAAATTAGCCTGGTGTGGTGGTGTGTGCCTGTAGTCCCAGCTACTTGGGAGGCTGAGGTGGGAAGATCGCTTGAGCCCAGGAGGAGGAGGTTACAGTGAGCCCAGAACCAGCCACTGCACTCCAGCCTGGGCAACAGTGAGACCCTGTCTCAAACAATAATCAATTTTAAATTACATCATGAGTAATGTAAAGAAAAAGCATGATCAGGGAATAAAGAATGTTAGGAGGTGCTATTTTATATTGGGTGGTGAAGGAAGGCCTCAGCGAGGAGGGGGCAATTAGCTAGAAATCTGAAGGAAGACACTGAGCATCAGTGCAGACATTTGGGAAAGGGTGTTCTAGGCACAAAGAACTGCAAATGCAAAGGACCTGGAATGGGAGTAGATGTGAATGTGGATAGCAAAGGAGGCTGACGTGGACGGAGCAGAGTGAGCTGGAGGCGAGAGGTGGGAGATGAGTTTGCAGAAGTAGCCAGCAAACTCATCAAGCTGGTCAAACTTGTAAGCTGAAGTAAGGACTCAACTATTCTGAGTGATGGGGGAGAGAAATGTCTTGACTGACCTGTACGTTAAAAGCCTCACTTGAAGCCAGGCATGGTGGCTCACACCTGTAATCCCAGCACTTTGGGAGGCCAAGGTGGGTGAATCACTTGAGGCCAGGAATTCAAGACCAGCCTGGCCAACATGGTGAAACCCCGTCTCTACTAAAAACATAAAAATTAGCCTGGCATGATGGCACATGCTTGTAATTTCAGCTACTCAGGAGACTGAGGCAGGAGAATCGCTTGAACCCAGGAGGCGGAGGTTGCAGTGAGCCGAGATCGTGCCTCTGCACTCCAGCCTGGGTGACAGAGCAAGACTCTGTCTCAAATAAACAAACAAACCCTCACTTGATTACTGGGGGGAGACTTGATGGTAGAAGAAAAAGAAGAGAAGCAGAACCCAGGTAAGCAGCTAGGAAGCTGTAGTCACCCAGATGAGAGAAAAAGGTGGCCTGGACCACACTCGTACAAGAGGAGGTATGAAGAGGTCAGATTTAGAATGTAGTTGAAAGTAAAGTGTACAGCATTTGCTGATGATTGGATGTGGGGTTTGAAACATGTAACAATTAGATGCTGTATTTCCAAATGTCTTGAATAATAAGAATATATGCAAGGACAGAAATAAATTTGTCTTTGACTTTCCTTTATCCAAAGAAATCAGAAGATGGAGAAAAGCATTTTAGAGAAACAGTGCCAGGGTATGTGATTGCCAGGTGGGCACTGCATGACTGGGTGCCTCACTGAGGAAAAAGTAACTCAACATGGGCAAAGGAGATCCCAAGAGGCAAAAATGTCATTATACGCATTCTTTATGCATACTTGTCAGAAGGAGCACAAGAAACAGCACCCAGATGCTTCTGTCCTCTTCTCAGATTGTTCCAAAAAGTGCCAGAGAGGTAAAGGACCGGGTCTGCTATAAAGGAAAATTTGAAGACTTGGCAAACTCAGGCAAAAGACCCATTATGAAAGAGAAATGAAAACCTATATCCCTCCAGAAAGAGAGGCAAAAAAAAAAAAAAAGCCCAAGAGGCCTCCTTTGGCTTTTTTCTTGTGTTCTGAGTATTGCCCCTGAGTCAAAGGAAAATATCCCGGCCTATACATTGGTGATTTTGCAAAGAAACTGGGAGAGAGGTGGAATGACACTGTTGCAGATGACAAGCAGCCTTATGAAAAGAAGGCTGCGAAGCTGAAGGACAAATATGAAAAGGATATTGTAGCAGACTGAGCTAAAGGAAAGCCTCATGCAGCAACAAAGGGAATTGCCAAGGCTGAAAAAAAAAGAAAAAAAGAAGAGGAGGATGAGGAGGAAGGAGAAGAAGAAGATGATGATAAACGAGTTGGTTGTAGCAGTCTTTCTCTTGTCTATAAAGAATTTAACAACCCCTGTATACAACTCACTCCTTTTAAAGAAAAAAAAATTGAAATGTAAGGCTGTGTAAGATTTGTTTTTAAGCATTACAGTGTCAGCTGGGCGCGGTGGCTCACACCTGTAATCCCAGGACTTTGGGAGGCCAAGGTGGGTGGATCATGAGGTCAAGAGATCGAGACCATCCTGGCTAACACGGTGAAACCCCGTCTCTACTAAAAATACAAAAAAATTAGCCAGGCATGGTGGCGGGTGCCTGTAGTCCCAGCTACTTGGGAGGCTGAGGCAGGAGAATGGCATGAACCCGGGAGGCAGAGCTTGCAGTGAGCCAAGATTGCGCCACCGCACTCCAGCCTGGGCGGCAGAGCGAGACTCCATCTCAAAACAACAACAACAACAAAACAAAACAAAAACAGAAACAAACAAAAAACATTACAGTGTCTTTTTGTACAATTAACAGATTACAAAATGTCTCTTAAGATAGCCCTGTCCTGGTGATATTTTTAATAGACACTAACCTTGCCTGATACAGAATGGGGGTTGTAATTGGCACGGAAATTTAAAGCAGGCTTTGTTGGGGCACAGCACAGATTAGTTATATAGGAGGATAGTTTTTTCATCTTCATTTGTCTCTGATGCAGCTTATACGATATAGTTGTTGTTCTGCTGAGTACCACTCTGTAATTGAAAAAAAAGAAGTTGCAGCTGTTTTGTTGACATTCTGAATACTTCTAAGCAAATACAATTTTTTAAATTAAAAAAGCATTTTAGCCCTTTGCCTTCAGTAAACTGGGCATGAATAAGCCCAGGTGGCATCTTTTAAAGTGTTAAGTAATAACGGTTCCCATGTTCAATGCTTCTGGGAGGTTATAGTCCTCAGTCAATTAATGTTTCCTCGGTGTATAGCGACCCCTGTCTGCAGGAATGCTGTGTGGAGTACACTCTCAAGAAGGAGGTGATGTAAAGAACATGCAACTTGGAATCAGATGCGGATTTGAGTTTCAATGCTCATAAGAGCAGAGTCAAGTGGCTTAACTTTTTGCTTCCTTATTTGTAAAATGGGAATGACTTCAACTACAATCATGCATTGCTTAATGGGGATATGTTCTGAGAAATGCATTGTTAGGCAATTTCATTGTTTTGTGAACATAAGAAAGTGTACTTACACAGACCTAGACAGTACAGCCAACTACACACCTAGGCTATGTGGCATAGCTCCTAGGCTACAAGCCTGTACAGCATGTTACTTTACCAATACTGTAGGCAACTGGAACACAATGGTAAATATTTGTGTATTTAAACATATCTAAACACAAAAAAAGGTACAGTAAAAATAAGGTATAAAAGGTAAAACATAGTACACTTATATGGGGCACTTACAACAAATGGGGCTTGCAGGACTGGAAGTTGCTCTGGGTGAATCAGTGAGTGGTGAGTGAATGTGAAGGCCTAGGACATTACTGTATGCTACTGTAGACTTCACAAACACTGTTCACTTAGGCTGTGATACATTTATAAAACAATAAAGTAATTGTGCTATGATGTCACAATAGCCACAATGTCACTAGGGAATAGGAGTGTTTCAGCTCCATTATAGTCTTATGGGACCACCATCATATATGCACAGTGGTTGACTGAAACGTCTTTATGTGGCACATGACCGTAACTCAAAGAAGACAAAGCTTGTGAAAATATTTTATATACTGAAGTGTAAGCTTACGAAAATTTCAGAGAACCTAGTATAAATTGTAAGTATTCATGTTATAAACAGCTGAAAGCCATAAATCAGACTCACCATGTTTTTTTTTCAAGTGAAAATTAAAATGTGAAGCTTTTGTTGATTTTTAAAATACTGCATACTCATTTAATTTTTTCAAGCTGTATGCTTGGTGTAAAAATTCAAGTACAGAAATGGAGAAAGTGAAGTCTTCAGGAGTGTCTCCTCTATCCTCATATCCACTGCCTCAAATTTGCTGTTGACCCTTCCAGAATTTGCATTGCAAAAAAATAAAAATAAAAATATAATACACAAATGAGATTACATAATCCATAAATGCCTTATAACCTGCATTTTAAAAAAACTTAACAATATATTGTGGACAATTTTCTATGCTAATAGATTTATATCCACCTCATCCTTGTTAAGGCTGACACCAGTGGTTTTCCATCTTGCCTCAATATTAGATTCACTTGAAGAACTTAAACAAAAAACAAAACAAAACCCTAGTGCTCCAAACACATCTAGACCAATTAATCAGCATCTCAGAGGGAGTCCAGATAATTTTTTTTTTAAATCTTCTGAGGTTATTCTAATGTTTAACCAGGATTGGGGCCCAGGTATCTTAAGTAGTGATGCAGGATTTTTCTCGGCTCCTTTGCTGGACTCCCAGCAGGGGCGCTCTGTCTACTAGGCCCACCACACTCAGCCCCTTGTGGGAGGGAGCACATGAGTGAGTGAGTCCAGGGTCCAGCCTGCCACTTCGCCACCGCAGGAGAAAGCTTTGTGCAGAGCCCGCAGCCAGACCAGTGGTGTCGCCTTGAGGGGAATGCAGTGGCACCCAGGCAAGGATGCCTGAGACCCCAAAGCCCCAGAGGGGGTGGTAGTGTGCTGATGAGCTTTTTTAGTTCTGCCATCCACAGCCCGATGGATGGCAGCATGTTAGCAGCCCGGTTGGCCCCTGGCCCCCTCACATGGGGTGGCTGTCCTCTGCTGACCAGGGCAAAGGGTCAGTGTGACAGCCTTTCTGGGTACCCACACTTGGATCTCAAGCTCTTGTCCAGCATCCAAGAAAAATTAGGTCACCCTTGATAATTGAACGATAGTGAGGGCAGAGAATTTTATTGAGCGATGAAAAAGCTCTCAGCCGAGAGGGGAGCTGGAGATGGGATGGGAAGGGCTGTTCATCTTCCCCTGAGGTCAGGAGGTCTCTTCCCTGAAGTCAGGCCATCTCCCACCTCTACCAACTGAGTCTGGGGTCTTTACAGGCACAGGATGGCGGTGGGGTGGACTGTAGGTAATACTGGAAAAGGCAACATTTGATTGGTTAAAATACATTATTCAGAAAGAACCAATAGGGAGAGAGTGGGCAAACAGGAATAGAAGTTCTCACTCTGGTCCATGGGCTTCACACTGTTTTTGGCTTGAAGGTCGGGTTTCACCGGAGACCCACCTCTGTCTGCCTAGGATTTCTCTGCCACCTGCCTCTATTAGTAGTACTCTGCATTATATGAATACACCATAATAGATTTAACCCATACTGTTTTGATGAACATTTAGGTTGCAAGGTCTCTATACCTATTCCTTATATTTGCATATTGTCTACCATACTTGTGAATAGACATACTTTGTTCACCTACTATAAAGCAAGTTAGTTTTGAAGGCCGGGTGTGGTGGTTCCCGCCTATAATCCTAGCACTTTGGGAGGCCGAGGCGGGCGGATCACTTGAGGTCAGGAGTTCAAGACCAGCCTGGCCAACATGGTGAAACCCTGTCTCTACCAAAAACACAAAAATTAGTTGGGCATGGTGGCACATGCCTGTAATCTCAGCTACTTGGGAGGCTGAGGCAGGAGAACGACTTGGACCCCGGAGGTGGAGGTTGCAGTGAGCTGAGATTGTGCAACTGCACTCCAGCCTGGGTGACAGAGCAAGACTCCTTCTCAAAAAAGAGAAAAAAAAAAAAAGAAGTTAGTTTTGATTAAAAGTAGCTTTTTAATACAAAGGATAAACGCTTGAGGTGATGGATACCCCATTTACCCTGATGTGATTATGATACATTTTATGTCTGTATCAATATATATCATATACCCCATAAATATATATACTTCCTATGTATCCATAAAGATAAAAAATTAAAAAGTAGCTTTTATTGAATTAATTCAGGTTTAAATATAATAAAAACCAATTGTAAGACAGCTTAATATTTAAAATTGTTCTACACAGGACCAGCTACATAATTTGTAGGTTCCAGTGCAAACTGAAGATGCAGGACTCCTTGTTAAAAAAAGTATTAAGAATTTTAAGACAGCAACAGCAAAGCATTAGGCCAAGCGCAGGCACGTTGTATGTCTATGAAGCCAGCCTAGCTTCTATGATGTGTTAGATTACATGGTCACAAAGTTTGAAGAAAATATTTTTTTTGTTTGTTTGAGACAGGTCTCACTCTGTCGCCCAGGCTGGAGTGCAGTGGCACTATCTCGGCTTTCTGCAACCTCTGCCTCCTGGGCTCAAGTGATCCTCCCACCTCAGCCTCCCCAGTAGCTGGGACTACAGGCACACATCACCATGCCTGGCTAATTTTTGTATTTTTTGTAGAGACAGGCTCTTGCTATGTTGCCCAGGCTGGGCTTAAACTCCTGAGCTCAAGTGATTCCCCTATCTCAGCCTCCCAAAATGTTGAGAGTACAGGAGTGAGCCACTGCACCCAGCAAAGAAAATATTTTTATCGTGAGTGAATGATTGCACCTCTAAGATCACTGCCAAGTGAAAAATTATGTAATCTTAGTAACCCCTATGTGCAAGATAGTACATGCTTTACTCTTTACACTGCACAAGACAGATATTTTTGCTTGTTGATAGCATTAATAGCATTATGAATGAATTTTTAACTTTTACTATAGAATGAAACTTACTGTACTTGATGCCACGGAAAACAATAAGTATTTTTCTGGCTCCTCTAGCTCTGGTCATCTATCCACTTTAGTCTTAGGGAGAGAGTACAACAAAAGATAGAACGCATAGCAAGGTAGAATGGGGACCTATGTCTTTAATATCTTGCTCAGAAATTAAGAAATATTGTTAGAGTAGGTAGCTAGTCATGAATGAGCAGGGCAGGAGAGGGCTCCCCTTATACACACACCCCCCTCCACACACACACACGCACACCCCAGGAATTTCAGGCGACCATCAGGTGACGGTCAGGTGGTTATTAACTGTCTTTCTAAAACAATAATTGGTTGCAGCCAGCACCAGGGAATAGCATTCTCCCAATAGATACAAAAAACCTGAAACTAGTGATCAGCAACTTTCCAGTAAGATCTCAGGAGCTGGGTGAGTGTGCGCAAGCGTGCACATTAAGAAGCAAAATGGCAGAATTTAACTGGTATTTGATCTTCTAGGGACGTGCAACTGCTAATGGAAGAATGCCTCAAGTAAGCATGTATACGACTCCAATAAACACACTATGCATGCTCCCCTCCCAAGTCCTGGCAAGCCACTGTGCATGCAGACAGCCCACCCCAAGGGAAAAATCAGGGGAGAAGGGACATAGACCCCAGAAGTATGCCAACGTATAAAACCCTAAGTCAAAGGTCAAATGGGGTACTTGACTTTCAAGTCGCCCACTTGGCCCTCTTCCCAGTGTATTTCCTTCCTTTTGTTCCTGCTGTGAAGCTTTTTAATAAACTTTCACTCCTGCTCTAAAAGTCGCTTCTGTCTCTCCTTCTGCCTTATGTTCCTCGATCAAATTCTTTCTTCTGAGGAGGCAAGAATTGAGGTTGCCGCAGACCTGTACAGATTTGCCGCTGGTAACAGTATGAATATGATCATACTCCTTTTGTCCCTAAATTTCTATGGTATAGGACTTGCACTTTACTAAAATATACAAACTTGCAAGAAAAGGAGGCTGTTGCATTGACCCTACACTTAATGCCAATGCCCACCGTTTATATTTATGCCTTTAATCACGACTGTCGTAAGAAAAATATTATTGCTGTCATTTTCCTTGAAACTGAAACTCAGAAAGATAAGGTAGATTTGCCCAAAATCATAAAGAACCAGAGCCTGGATTCAAACCTCACCTCCATCTGATTAAAAAGGCCATGATTTTGATCTTAAAAATAGTCCGAGGAGAGGAGAGAACTCCATTGGAATATGGGGGCAGAAGGTGATGTGATGTGATGTGTCTACCAGCCAAGGAGTGCCAGCAACCATTAGAAGCTAGGAGGGAGGCATGGAACAGATTCTCCCTCAGAACCTCCAGAAGGAACCAACCCTGCCGACACCTGGATTTTGGACTTTCCAGACTCCAGGATTGTGAGAGAGGAAATTTCTGTTGTTTTAAGTCACCCAGTTTACGGTACTTTGTTCCAATCCCCTAGGAAACTCATACATCATGCTTCTATTTTGGAACAATAACAGGATGGTAAAAGTCCAGAAAAGATGAAGATGATGAATATTACAAATACTTGTCCATCTCATGCTATTTGTCCCCCTCCCATACCTTACTGATTGATGTCCATGGCGCACTGAATGTTCACAGCTAGAATATTCTTGGACACCTGCATACCTCTGCTCTACTGGTTGTATGCTTACCAAGAATCGGTTTTGTTTATTTTTAGTTGTTTTTACTGTTATAATTTTGTCACTTTGAGACAAAATAGGGAAATAGGCCAGACCCATGCCTGTAATCCCGACATTTTGGGAGGCCAAGGCAGGAGGATCACATGAAGCCAAGAGTTTGGGACCAGCCTGGACAACATAGCAAGACCCCCAACTCTACAAAAAACTTAAAAATAGAAAAAATAGGCCAGGTGCAGTAGCTCACGCCTGTAGTCCTATCACTTTTTTGGGAGGCCAAGGCAGGAGGATCGCTTGAACCCAAGAGTTTGAGACCAGCCCTGGCAACACTGTGAGACCTCATCTCTGGAAAAACAATTTTTTTTTTAATTAGCTGGGTGTGGTGGTGCGTGCCTGTAGCCTCAGCTACTTGAAAGGCTGAGGTAGGAGGATCACTTGAGCCTGGGAGGTCAAGGCTGCAGTGGGCCATGGTCCTGCTACCACATTCCAGCCTAGCAACAGAGCAAGACTCTGTCTCAAAAATAATAATAATTAATTAATTAATTAAAATAATTTTTAAAATAAAGAGAAAATAGAGAATTTATTTTATTTTATTTTATTTTTGAGGCGGAGTTTTGCTTTTATTGCCCAGGCTGGAGTGCAATGGCGCGATCTCGGCTCATCGCAACCTCTGCCTCCCGGGTTCATGCGATTCTTCTCTCGAGTAGCTGGGATTACAGGCATGTGCCACCACACCCGGCTAATTTTGTATTTTTAGTAGAGACCAGGTTTCTCCATGTTGGTCAGGCTGGTCCCAAACTCCTGACCTCAGGTGATCCACCCGCCTCGGGATCCCAAAGTGCTGGGATTACAGGCGCGAGCCACCGCGTCCGGCCGAGAATTGTTTTATTAAGGCTTGTATGTTAATTCATCCTACCGTAGAAAATTTAAGAGTGTTCATTAAAAGTTTATTTTCTAGGTCCTGATGAGTTCTGACTTTCTGTAATTCTAAGCTGATCTAACAACAAGCTAACCATATATAGCTAAAAGTTATAGGCTACGTACACGCGGTGTTCACTGTATGCCAACGCTGTACACAAATATTTGTCTATGCTAACTTGTCTGAGATCATACATCCCAGAAGTGGTGAAGTCAAGTTTGAAACCCAAGCACTCTGGCTCGGGATACTGCTTCTCTCCCCTTAGCGCATATTACTGGCATTAGTTGAAGACTTCTTTAATCCAAGTAAATGTAGAAAAGCAACAATTATAAATAACAAGAGTCCCTCGGGTAGACCGCCTGACTCTCGGATCAACTGAGGTTCCACCCAGAGCACGCCCGCCTTCAGTGAGCCGCAACCCCTATCCCTACGGTCTTTATCTGCAATTCTCTACGAACTGATTCACTCGATTTTTAAGGATTTTTTTTGTTTTCTTTTCATTACTTCTTTCAGTTTGGGGGAATCTTCCTGCACATTTGACTCGGCTCTGAGTGCGCAGACCAACGTGTTTCCTCTTTCTCCAGCCTAGGGCGGTGCCAGCCCAGGGAGCCTGCGCTTAGCGGCCCCAGGCCCGCCCCTGACACTGAACGCCGCTTGTCCCCTCCGGCTTGCCGTCCTCGCAGCCATGGCGGCCGCCGCGCTCCCAGCATGGCTGTCTCTGCAGTCGAGGGCAAGGACTCTGCGTGCATTCTCCACTGCCGTCTACTCGGCCACTCCGGTCCCGACACCTAGCCTGCGTGAGTGTCTGTCTCGTCTTCTCTGGGCTTTGGGGGAGGTGCAAGAGCGGAATACCGGCCTCATGAAGGGTGCCGCGGTGGCTGAGCCAGCGCCGCCCGGGGGAGGCCAGTGCGTCCGCTGCCAGGCCCGTCTGGTAGGAAAACCATGGACGTGGGTCTGTGCTCTGCACCCGCGTTGCCCGGCTTCTAGCCGCCTGTTTCTGCCCTGGGTGCTCTGGGAGTTTGCTCAGAAAGCTTACATCCCCCTTCCCCGTGACCTGCTCCTGTGTTGCCCCCGTCCACAGCCCCTGGCACAGGTTACTGGTGCTGTGTTGTTTATCGGGCATCGGCGCTGTTGAACCATGGATTTCCCCAAACATTAAGAGAGTCATACGGCTGTGCTAGGACAAATTGCTGCTCTGAATTCCAGGCCACCAAATGGGCGGCCTTCATTCAACAGGCGTTGATGACCTCCATTTAACAGAGATTGTAGGGATGCTTGATAGCGTGCTTACCCCGGAGGACTCTAGTGGAAAATACAGATTTATTAGCGGAGAAGTGCTATGTAGGGTGAGAGGCGCTGTGATAGAAGTGTGGCTAGAATGACGGGAGCGTTGAGGAGGAGCTGGCGTGAGTCTAATCAATAGGCGGATCCTACCTGTGCTACTTCCTGTTATATCTCTAATTTACTCTCCTCATACTACCAACTATCTAGTTCAGGTGACCATCTCATTTCTACAAGTTTTTTTTCCGTTTCCTGTTTCCCCTCTTGCTCTCCTACATTGAATTCTCAAAACAGCCAAATGAGGTTTTCAAAATTTAGATCTTGTCTTGCTGCTCTCATGTTCAAGATCTACAAATGGTTTCCCATTGTTTTCAGATAAACTATAAATACATTAATCCTTCATACTGGCTCTTCATAGGTCTAATAATTGTCTATTTTTAAATTTTCATTCTTAAATTCTTGGAATACTTAACTCCTATTGTATACCATGCAGTGTTCTAGACACTCACCGGAGATACGGCAAGGTGGGGAAGTCAATAGTATAAACAACCAAACAACTAAATAAGATGTCAGATAGGGTTTAATGCTTTGAAGAAAAATAAAGTAGAGTATTGAGAATGATGGATTTGGGGGGAGTAGTGGCCACAGGATGGTCAGGAAAGATCTTTCTGAGGAAGTGACATTTGAACAGGGCCCCAAGCCATGCAGAGATATGGGGAAAGAGCCTTTGGGGTATGGGGAACTATAAGTGCAAAGGCCAAAAGTTGAGAACAATCTGAGGGGTGTGATCAAGGAACGGGAAGAAGGACAATGTGGCAGGAGCTAAGTGTGAGTAGAGGAGAGAGTGGTAGTATAAGACGTCAGAGAGTTAGTTAAGTAATAATCTGATCTCTCAAGAGTTTGTAGACATTTCATTTGGATTTTTGGCTTGGGTTTTATATTGAAAGGCTTGGAACAGGGAACTGATATAATGTGATTTACGTTTTTAAAAGATCACTGGCTGCTTTACTGGGGTAAGAGTGGAAGCCAAAGATCTGTTTGGAGGCTGTTGCAGTAATCCAAATGAGGTGATGGTGACTTGGATTAAAGTAATAGTGGAGAAGGAGGTGTGGTTGTATTTGCGATATATTTTGAAGGTAAAGTTCATAGGATTTACTGATGGATTTGATGTGGGGCTTGAGGACAAGTCTCAAAAAAATCCTGTTACATTTTTGTTCTGAGCAATTGGATGAATGATGATTCCATGTACACGAATTGGGAAGACTGGAAGAAGAAAATCAAAAGCCCTGCCAAGGGGCTGAGTGTGGGGGCTCATTCCTGTAATCCCAGCACTGTGGGAGGTCGAGGCCTGCGGATCCCTTGAGCCCAGGAGTTTGAGACCAGCCTGGGCAACATGGCGGAACCTCGTCTCTATTGAAAATACAAGAAATTAGCCAGACGTGGTGGCCCATGCCTGTAGTTCCAGCTACTCCAGAGGCTGAAGTGGGAGAATCACCTGAGCCTGGGAAGTCGATTACAGTGAGCCGTAATCGCACCACTGCCCTCCGGCCTGGGTGACGGGAGTGAGACCCTATCTCAAAAGAAAAAAAGTTCTGCTAAGGATGCATTATAGTTAAGACGCCTGTTAAGTGCCTTCAGCCTCTTTTCTCTCTGTCTCTCTCTGTTCTGTTCTTAAATTTCAGCCATATTGAATTTGTTCACTTTGATTTTCCATGTGCTCTCACTCTGTCAAAACACTTTTTCTCACCTGCTTGTCTTCATGGCTACGTCCTGCTCATCTTTCAGGTTTTAGCTTAAAGTTCACTTTCTCAGGGAGATTTTCCCCAACTGATTAGAGTTTTCCAGAGAGACAGAACGTAGATGTAGGATAGGATAGATGTAGATGTAGATATATAGACATATGATGGGATTTTTTAGGGGAATTGACTCACCCCACAATAGGCTGTCTGCAAGCTGGAAGCCCATGTCAGTCCAAGTTCAGAAACCTCAGAACCACAGAAGCCATGTAATTTTCAGGCCAAGGCTGAAGGCCTAAGAACTCAGGGGGCTGCGTGTACAAGTTCCTGGAGTCCAAAGGCTGGAGCACCTGGAGTTCTGATGTCCAAGGGCAGGGGAAGAGTGTCCCAGGTCCAGAAGAGAGAGAGAGAGAATATATTCTTCTTTCATCTGCCTTTTTGTTCTTTCTGTGCCCTCAGCTGATTGGATGATGCCCACCCACATTGAGAGCAGGTATTCCTCACTCAGTCCACTGACTCAAATGCCTGTCTCTCCTGGAAACATCCCCACAGACATGCCCAGAAATAATGCTTTACCACATGTCTATGTATTCCTCAATCCAGTCAAATTGACACAAAGTTAACTATCATGGCTGGGCACAGTGACTCACCCCTGTAATCCCAGCACTTTGGGAGGCTGAGGTGGGTGGATCGCTGGAGCTCAAGAGCTTGAGACCAGCCTGGCAACATGGCGAAACACCGTCTCTACAAGAATTAGCCGGGTGTGCTCATGTCTTTAGTCCTAGCTACTTGGGGTGCTGAGGTAGAAGGATTGGCTTGAACCTGGTAGTTCGAGGCTGCAGTAAGCCGAGATTGCACCACTGCAATCCAGCCTGGGCGAGAGTGAGATGACCTTGTCTCAAAAAAAAAAAAAAAAAAAGAAAGAAAGAGAAAAAAGAAAAAATTCACCGTCATACAAACTAATTGACTAGGTTTCGTTCCCTGCTATATGTGTTCATAATATTTATCACTGTTTATTGAAATTATTTGTTAAAAAGTTGTCTTACTTGACAGACTCTGTAAGAGTCATTTTTTAGATAATGAATTCACTGTATCTGCAATTCAAATAACTGTAGAATTTTCCTTACTGGGGCTAGGCACAGTGGCTCACACCTGCCCACCGCACTTTGGGAGACTGAGGCAGGCGGATCACTTCAGGTCAGCAGTTTGAGACCAGCCTGGCCAACATGGTGAAACTCTATCTCTACTAAAAATACAAAAATTAGCCAGGTGTGGTGGGGTGTACTGGTAGTCGCAGCTACTTGGGAGGCTGAGGCAGGAGAATCACTTGAACTCCGGAGGTAGAGGTTGCAGTGAGCCGAGATCACACCACTGCAATCCAATCTGGGTGATACGCCGAGACTCCCTCTGTTTCCAGTTTTTAGTCTTCATTAAGATGATTTTGGTCCCTGAGCTTACCAAAAAAAAAAAAAAAAAGATTGTTTCATTGTTATGTTACTAAATACCTTAAATTGTGTTAGAATAATGGGATCATGATTGATGTTGAACAACTAACTTGACATGATAAAATTCTCTTTAACTACTGTGTTATCTTTTACGTACAGCGGAAAGAACACCCGGAAATGAAAGGCCACCAAGAAGAAAGGTAAAAAGTTCGTATACTCTACTATCTTAATGGTTTCTGGAGTTCTAAAATGAGGCAGATATTCATTATAAGGCAGAAGGGTGTTACCAGAGAAGACTTCACAAGGTCATGTTTACTGGGTGATTGCCATAGCCCTGGCAGAGGTTAGTCTTTGTTTTTTGTCAGTACCCAGAGAATAGATGATCTTTGAGAGGTTGACTTACTGAGGAACTCCCAGGAAACAGGTGTATAAACCAGAATATGGAACAATTTCTAATGCTATCTTAAGTCCTGCAGCCTGGGACTTATGCATTAATATAACTAGTTTGTTTATTTATTTATTATTATTTATTTGAGATAGAGTTTCCCACTTGTTGCCCAGCTGGAGTGCAGTGGTGCAGTCTTGGCTCACTGGTACCTCTGCCTCCCGGGTTCAAGTGGTTCTCCTGCCTCAGCCTCCCAAGTAGCTGGGACTACAGGCACACACCTCCATGCCTGGCTAATTTTTTGTGTTTTTAGTAGAGAGAGGTTTTCACCATGTTGGTCAGGCTGGTCTTGAATTCCTGACCTCAGGTGATCCACCCGCCTCAGTGCTGGGATTACAGGCGTGAGCTACTGCACCTGGCCTCCCAAAGTGCTGGGATTACAGGCATGAGCCACGGCACCTGGCCGTATTCTAACTAGTTGAGTCTCACCCTGTGGACATTTGGATTCCTTACTTCTATGGAGGAATCTAAACGATAAGGTCAGTTGGTGAGCAATAGTGTCAGAACAAAGACACATTAGTTGGAAGTTAAATGGTATCAAATTACAATCATTAAGAGCAGTCATTTCCTCAGGACTATTACCTGCTTCTAGGATATTGACTACACTGGTTTTGATATTGCGTAGGCGGGGCATGGCTGAATTTTGCCACTATAAACCCTACTTTTGTATGTGGGCCATCCCCTCGTATTTGATGCCATTAAAAATAAATGTTAATGTGATTGACTAAGCTATCAAGTACTAGTTTTTCTCTGGGCCTAGGAGACATATAATTTTTCATTATATATTTATTCAATCAGTTTAACCCTAATTATTTTTTCCTTTTCTTTTTACTTCCAAGTACTTAACGCCCCCTCATGTACTACTGACTTCCATCAAAGAAGTTCGAAAAATTATTTCAAAATGTATTGTTAATTCACCCTTTCATAAGCAAAATGTAAAAATTTTGCTAAAAGTCCAGTTAAAGAAATTTTTAGTGAAGAAAATGTGATATTAAAGGGGATCCTTGCCAGAGGGTTTGAAGAAACAGTGCAGAGATATTTAGGTAGATTTAGTGTTGTTTTTAAAATTTGGACAGCAGCAGCATTGTGGGAGGTCAGATTTTACATATGTTGCAATTTTGCTTCTATTTCTTGTAATTGTAGCTTTTTGCTTTAAAATTAAAATTCTTTAAGAATTAAAGAATGTGTTTATATTTAAAATACTAAACGATTTTATATTTCTTAGGCACTACCTCCTAGGACAGAGAAAATGGCTGTTGACCAGGACTGGCCTAGTGTTTACCCAGTTGCAGCACCATTTAAACCCTCTGCAGTACCTCTTCCTGTTCGAATGGGTTATCCAGTAAAAAAGGGCGTGCCCATGGCAAAGGAGGGAAATCTAGAACTTTTAAAGGTAAGACAAATTGCTGATTCATTGGCTCAGACTTACATAGAAATAAATGCTGATCTTCCCCCCTATTTCTGCTCTCTTATGCTTCACCGTTCAGTGTATAGCAGCTTAGTGTATTTTAATTTAAATGTTAAAAATAATATAATAGGTTTATTATTATACAACACCAGATAATAATAGGTGTTGTATTTTGATTATCAATGGTAAAGAATACTCAAAGAATCCTAGGCATTTAATAATGTAATTAGTTGGCTGGGCGCAGTGGCTCACGCCTGTAATCCTGGCACTTTGGGAGGCCGAGGTGGGCAGATCACTTGAGGTCAGGAGTTCAAGACCAATCTGGCCAACATGGTGAAACCCCATCTCTACTAAAAACACACAAAAAATTAGCCAGACGTGGTGGTGGGCACCTGTAATCCCAGCTACTTGGGAGGCTGAGAAAGGAGAATTGCTTGAACCCAGGAGGCGGAGGTTGCAGTGAGCCGAGATGGCGCCACTGCACTCCAGCCTGGGCGATAGAGTGAGACTCTGTCTCAGGAAAAAAAAAAAGAGTAATTAGTCAATCTTGTGGCTTCCCTTGTGACCTTTTTCTGTTGTATCTCTTCTTTTTGGAGATGGGGGTCAGTATGTTGCCCAAGCTGGTCTTGAACTCCTGGGCTCAAGAGACATGCCTGCCTCAGCATCCCAAAGTGCTGGGATTACAGGTGTGAGCCACCACACCCAGCCTATCATATCTTTTCTATATTGCATCTTTCCAGTGGAATTAAGAAAAATGAAATAACCTAATTTGAGATTAAGAATTGGGAGGTGAAACTTCCAGTTTAAAAAGAGGAATTTAAATTTTTTCTGTCCATAAAGGTAGAATATTATTTAGTATTATTATTATAGTCTACCAAATTTAACTTTATTGCTTGAAGCAAAATAGGTTAAGGCAAATGCTTTGTTTGATAGCATGTATAATTATTTATCATGGGTGTTTTAAAGAAAATATAAATGCTTAGTCTGGGAATGCATATCTTAGATGGTTTCTTAAATACAATGAAAGTTATACAAAGGACAATGAACTGTTTTCCATTAGATGAGAGTCTTTGAAAAACAAAAGTTTGCTAAAAGGTGATGAGAACAGGGAGAATGGGTACTCTGTTGCTGGAGACAGGGGTAAATGAAATTTGGAAATGGGAATGTGAAGACACAAGAAAGCATACATCAAGGAAAACAAATGTTTTCTTTGAATGAAAGAAGATAATTTTGTTTAAAGAGGTCTTTGGAGAATCACTGGGTGAGAGAGTAGCGGTATATTTGCAATAATGCTAATGGTTGTAAATGACATTTTAATAAACATAAAAATCCAAACATTTAATGCATGCCATTTATTTGTAGTAATGGTGTCATTGAATAAGCTTATTAACTGAGCTAATGTATGCAAAGTGCATAGAACTGTGCCTATGTAAGTCCATGCAAATTGTCTATTGTTTTTTCCTTTCATGATATTTGAGTTTTATATGTTCATGTTTCAAAAATAAAAGTCTATCACTCTGATCTGTTAAAAGTAGCCCCTCAACACTAGGGTTTATAATTTTTAAAATGTATAAAAAGGAAAAAACCAAAAAGTACAGCAAATGAAGCTGCCCATCCCCAAATCCCAGTTTTCAGTGCCTATTTTCTCTTGATTAAAACAATATTTTCTGGCCAGGTGTGGTGGCTCACACCCGTAATCCCAGCACTTTGGGAAGCCAAGGCAGGCAGATCACTTGAAGTCAGGAGTTGGAGACCAGCCTGGCCAACATAGCAAAACCCCATCTCTACTAAAACTACAAAAAAATTAGCCAAGTGTAGTGGCGCATGCCTGTAATCCCAGCTACTTGGGAGACTGAGGCAGGAGAATCACTTGAACCCAGGGGGCAGAGGTTGCAGTGAGCCGGGGTCGTGCCACTGCGACAGAGCAAGACTCCATCTCAAAAACAAAAAACATTATTTTCTGATCAGCCCTCAAGATACTTGGCATAATTCGTGGAGTAACTTTCGGCTTGTTTAAATTTTCTTTCCAAATGAGCCTTTAAGCTCTTTCAGATGTTTAACATTATTCAAGAAATGACCTAATAAATGCTAATTATTTATTTGAAGAAATCAAATCTCTGACCTTTCCTGCATTTTCATTCACACTATGAATGATTCAGTAGCCTTTTAATGTGTCATCATAAATATATTCCTAACTTCATTAAACTATCCAGTTAAGATTTGCTACCTTCACTTATTAGTTCATAAAATGTTTATTATGTACAAAGTTGAAATACTGTCATGCTATGCAGCCCAGGGGAATTGGGATGATTAAACAATGATCCATATCCTGGCCGGGCACAGCGGCTCACACCTATAATCCCAGCACTTTGGGATACCAAGGCGGGCAGGTCACCTGAGGCCAGGAGTTTGAGACCAGCCTAGGCAACATGGTGAAACCCCGTCTCTACTAAAAATACAAAAATTAGCCGGGCATAGTGGCACATGCCTGTAATCCCAGCTACTTGGGAGGCTGAGGGAGGAGAATTGCTTGAGCCTGGGAGACAGAGGTTGCAGTGAGCTGAGATTGTGCCACTGCACTCCAGCCTGGGTGACAGAGCGAGACCCTGTCTCAGAAAAAAGAAAAAAACAAAACAAAAATCCACGTGCTTAAGTCCTTTCAGTTTTATAAAGGAAATATACATGTATACCTGTAGATTTGTGGCAGGAAGAATACTGTAAAAATGATGTTTAGTTTTTTTCATCATGATTGTCATTATAAGATGCTTGGTAAAAGACAAAAGATTTATATGATCTGAAGACAAATCCAGGTATCACTGTAAATTACTTGGTGCTGAATCTATATTTTAAGAAGTGTATTTCTTGAATTGACAACATCCGTGACAGAAAATCAATATTGTAAAAAAACAGATTTTGGGCGCGGTGGCTCACGCCTGTAATCCCAGCACTTTGGGAGGCCGAGGCGGGTGGATCATGAGGTCAGGAGATCGAGACCATCCTGGCTAACAAGGTGAAACCCCGTCTCTACTAAAAATACAAAAAATTAGCCGGGCGTGGTGGCGGGCGCCTGTAGTCCCAGCTACTCGGGAGGCTGAGGCAGGAGAATGGCGTGAACCCGGGAAGCGGAGCTTGCAGTGAGCCGAGATTGCGCCACTGCAGTCCGCAGTCCGGCCTGGGCGACAGAGCGAGACTCTGTCTCAAAAAAAAAAAAAAACAAACAGATTTTATTTACTACATGTTTTATTGGGCCTGTGATTTAGTTTTATGAGAAGATTATCTTTTTCATGTTTTTAAGACATTTAGCTAATTTATCTTTTAAATTTCTCTATTTAAGATTCCCAATTTTCTGCATTTGACTCCTGTAGCAATTAAAAAGCACTGTGAAGCCCTTAAAGGTAAGTGGTTATTTTCTTATATGAATTTTATATTGACTTTGAACATAAATTTAAGAATCTCTGTTCTGATATACTGTATAGCCTTATATTCAAGTTGTTTTCAGTGAATTGTTACATGTCAAGTCTGCAAATTGTTTTTGCTAACCACTACAAGGTATTAGGAATAATAATTAGAAACCATGATCCTTGTTCACAGGTAAGTTAGGGACTTACTGTTGAGTTTTAGAAAACATGCACATAAGGCTGAGTGTGGTGGCTCATACTTGTAATCCCAGCACTTTGGAAGGCCGAGGCGGGCAGACCACCTGAGGTTAGGATTTTGAGACCAGCCTGGCCAACATAGTGAAACCCTGTCTCTACTAAAAATACAAAAAAATTAGTCCTGCATGGTGGCAGGCACCTATAATCCCAGCTACTCTGGAGGCTGAGGCAGGAGAATCGCTTGAACTCAGGAGGTGGAGGTTGTGGTGAGTTTAAATCGCGCCATTGCACTCCAGCCTGGGCAACAAGAGGGAAACGCCATCTCAAAAAAAAAAAAAAAGAAAACAAACATGTTCCATATAAGAAGACTAAAGTAAATGTTGCAGATACTTCACAGAGAAGAATTATCTTGAAGAAATTATTTAAAATTTTAAAAAATTAGTGACACATGCATGTGGTAAATCAAATAGTAAAAGAGCTTATGATGAAAAAGCACTAGCCTTATGTGCTTTCTTTACCATCCCCAGCCCCTCATTTATTTATGTATATATGCTTATATTTATAATACTCTGTAGTATATATATTTATATATACTTGTATACTCTCTGTAGTGTGTATGTGTATTTATAAAATAACAGAAGTAATCACTGGAATATGATTACACCTTCAGTTCTGGATTTATTGATTTTGAAAACCTATTGATTTCTAGGTATAAACATAGATTTCATGTACTTACACTACTACTTCTCCTTCTCCTTCTTTCTACATGCATGGAGGTAAAGGCAAATAACATTTTTTAACTCATGGTTCTGTGTATGCTTTTATAATTATGTATATATTCCAATTTAAGTTCTGATTGATAGTTATGATTGATTAGATTTATTTAGGAGTTGGTACCTTTGGATAAAGTCTTAATATACTCATGCTGATTTAAAGGTGTTGTATATTACATGCTCAGTATACTTACTAAGGCTTTTCAGGAAAGAATATGAAACCTAGAAACACTTCACAAGTATCCTGATTATGTTGGGAAGGAGATGTGGAATAGTAAACATAATTATGATTAAATTTGAGCTTTTGAAAGGGCCTTCCGTTTAAAAATGTAAGGAAGACTATATAAAGAGGTCCTAAAACATAGGAATAATAACCTTACTCTTGAAATGAGGGAGGAAAAATCTGTTGCCTCTTAATAGGTCTTCTACTTTAGGACATTGGGATGCTTTTCTATCCCTTTAGAGTGTGTGTTTCTCTATGCATTTGTGCCTGGAATTAGATTAAAACTGATCACTTCCAAATTTGTGTCCCAGGCTGGGCATGGTGCCTCACACCTGTAATGCTCGCACTTTGGGAGTCTGAGGTGGGTGGATTGCTTGAGCTCAGGAGTTCAAGACCAGCCTGAGCAATGTGGTGAAACCCCATCTCTACAAAAAACACAAAAAATTAGCCGGGTGTGGTGGCATGTGCCTGTAGTCCCGGCTACTCGGGGGCCTGAGGCAGGAGGATTGGAACCCAGGAGATTGAGGCGGCAGTGAGCTCAGATCACGCCATTGCACTCCAGCCGGGGTAACAAAGTGAGATCCTGTCTCAAACAATAAAAAAAAATAAAATAAAATAACAAGTTTTTGTCCCGTTTGCCACAAATCATGTATTAGTATTTGATCATCTGTAAAGACAGTTAACAAATGGCATTGCACTGTGAAAAATTCCATGTTTCTTCTTTTTAAATGTGACAGGGCGTGGTAGCTCATGCTTTTAATTCCACAGTACAGCACTTTGAGAGGCCAAGGAAAAAGGATTGCTTGATCCCAGGAGTTTGAGACCATCCTGAGCAACATAGTGAGATCATGTCTCTACAAAAATATTAAAAAATTAGCTGGGGTGTGATGGCGCATGCCTGTGGTCCCAGCTACTCTGTAGGCTGAGGTGGACGACAGAGTGAGACCCTGTCGCAAAAAAACATAAAAATAAAAAAGTTTAAAAAAATTAAATGAAAGGCTTTTATACAGCACATTCGGAAGAGTGGCATTATATTTTATAGTATTTAAATGAGTGTCTTAATCTTTCCTTAATTATCCCTTTACACTTGCTGCTGGCCTCCGGATTCAGATTGCGTCTTCCGTATAACTCAAAGGCTTTTCAAGTACTTCTTCTCAGTTTTCTTTCAAAGTAGGTCAGTTCAGATTTTATATCTAACTTGCAAATGGAAAATCTGAAGCATGGGAAAGTTAGGTAATTTACCAAAACTTTAATAATCAGTGGCAGAAGTTAAATACAAACTAAGGTCTTCCAAAGTCTCATCTATTGCTCTACCTATCAGATGAGTAAAGGCTAATAGGAGTCTATTATGTGTTTTCCATTTGGCTGTCTTTTTTTAGACATATAATTTAGGTAATTTAATTTTAAAACTGTAATTATCATTTGATGATTGAAATGACTTATTCACATTTTTTTTTTTAAGTAAAAGAAAAAAGAGTCAGTGCAAACCCAAGAGCTCACAAAATTCCCCAAACTAGTCTCTCTTATAAAGTGCTTGGAAGTGATGCATCTTATAGTGCAGGATATTGGAGTAAGTTCATGATGGGAATGAAATTCAGCCTCAACAATCTTGCTCTGTTCATATTTTTTCAATGTTACAATGATGTTAATTGCAAAGATACTTCTTTCCCCTCAAAACGACCGGGTATTGATTTTTTAAACAGTGTTCAAGGAATGGAGTGAACTATGTTTAATTTGTTAACATGTTTAGTCCCAGATATCAGAGAGTCTTTGTAATCCAGAGTGACATTTTGCAGACTCTGATTTTAAAGCCTAAATGAGAGCAAAATATTGTTCCTATTATAAGAAAATCGTTAGCCCAAGGAAATGTTATTGGCAAAATAGTTCTCACTGCCCCTTAGACTGTCACCTAGAAGAGCTCCCACATCTGCCTGTGATTATGACCAGCCTTTTCTGCAGTTGTGCTTTTTTGGAGGAAGCATGGATCTGTGCAGTCTAATATGTTTGACCCAAGAAACCAGTTACTTTTAGCTGTTCTTAGAGTGAGGCTGTTTAAGAAATGAGATTTCCATTGTGGACAGCCTTATAGTGCCAGAAGTTTTCATCTCAAGCTGAAAGTTCTCTGCCATGCTAACTTGATTGAAACAGGACAAGATGAAATCAGCTCTGATACCTGGGGGAAGCTGGGAGCTACCTCTTTTCCTTTAAGTTTTTTTTTTTTTCCCATTAGGGGCCTGAGTTTATGCTTCTGTGTTATGAAGATAGAGAGGCATGTTCACAGTGCTTGGAGCTCCTGTTGTGGCCTAGGTCTCAGACCCAATCCCACTTCCTCTCTATGCTCTCTTGCCCAAATATGAGGACAAGGCTTTCTTCTTTCCATTTAACCCCATTGGCACATAGAAGTCACATAGAAAAAATATCAGTTCTTATAAGAATCCATTTAAGGGCTTAGGCATTTGTACCTGTTTGAGTTGAGGTTCTATTCAGCCAAATTTCTAGACGACTGTTGACTCCATCTCAGTTTCTTCTTAGGGCTTTTTGAGAGCTTTCAATTCCTTTCAGCTGATCTTTAGTAACCTTTAGTAATTAATACTATCTGTTACTTTTTTGAAAACAGTAATGCTGTGGGCACTATGAACTGTTTGCTTTTAGTTGGTACAGAGGAAGTAAACTGTCCAGTAACAGATATGTGCAAAGCTTATAATAAGCTTCCATCAAGGCACAGTTCCCTTTTAACTGAAAATACCATTACCACCAAACCTGAAATATCCAAAGAATTCCCTAATTAAATTGCCTAATTTAGGATGTACCTGATAGGAAAAGGGATAAGGGATGATGCTATATATGTAAAGTGCAGAAGAGAATCTGTTCTTTCATGTAACTTGGTGATGCTCTCAGTAATTTGGTATTGTCTAGTAGTATGCATTACAATGAGAATTTACTTGCAAAAGTGTAATTGAAATTATTTCTTTTATTCTCAGATTTTTGCACTGAGTGGCCAGCCGCACTGGACAGTGACGAGAAATGTGAGAAGCATTTTCCAATTGAAATTGACAGCACTGATTATGTTTCATCAGGACCATCTGTTCGGAACCCCAGAGCACGAGTAGTAGTCTTAAGAGTAAGAGTTTTTTTCATTTTTTTTTTTTAAATAAGAATCATTCTAATACATTATTTAAAGATGTCTTTGGTGGCTGGCACAGTGGCTCATGCCTGTAATCCCAGCACTTTGGGAGGCCAAGGTGGGAGAATTGCTTGAGCCCAGGAATTTGACGCCAGCCTGGGCAACATAGCAAGAACCTATCTCTAAAAATAAAGAAAGAAATTGATATGTGTGATTATAAAACTGTAATATTTTTCACAGAAATTTTGGAAAATACAAGTTTCAAATTATACACCAGGCATGGTGGCTCCTGCCTGTAATCCCAGCACTTTGGGAGGCCGAGTCAGGCGGATCACCTGAGGTCAGGAGTTCAAGACCAGCCTGGCCAACATGGTGAAACCCCGTCTCTACTAAAAATACAAAAATTAGCTGGGCGTGGTGGTGGGCACCTGTAATCCCATCTACTCCGGAGGCTGAGGCAGGAGAATTGCTTGAACCCGGGAGGCAGAGGTTGCAGTGAGCTGAGATCGCTCCACTGCACTCCAACCTGGGTGACAGAGCGAGATTCCATCTCGGAAAAAAAAAAAATTACAAAATTGCCCGTAAATCTACTATTTGTAACCACTGTTAACTATAGTAGCTCATTTTAGTATATAGTCACAGCCTGCCTTTGTGTATATTAATGGGATGATACTGTATGTGTTCAGCAGTCTCTTAACAAGAATTAAACATTTCCCAATAATATTAAACATTCTTTAATTTAATTTGAATTTTTTTGAGATGAGATCTGACAGGCAGAGAGTAGTGGCACTAACATAGCTCAATGTGGCCTCCAATTTCTGGGTTCAATTGATTGTCCTGCCTCAGCCTCCAAAGTGGCTGGGACTACAGGTGTGAGACACTGCCCAGCCCATTTTCTTAAATTTTTTGTAGATACAGGATCTCACTTTGTTGCCCAGCTTTTCTTGAACTCCTGGCTCAAGTGATCTTCCCACTTCCGCCTCCCAAAGCACTGGAATTACAGGTGTGAGCCACTGCACCCAATCTAATTTAATTTTAATGGCTGCATAGAATAACGTATAAATGAGAGATTGTTATGTACCAAGACAGTGTTTGAATCTGGGGGTGTAATGTTGATCACTTCAAACTTAGCCTTTTTTCTGAGACTGAAGTGTGATATATAAATAATTTCATAATACAGGGCTACCATAATTTATCTGTATTATGGAACCTTTAGGCTTTTTAATGGTTTTCTTTATTAGAAAAATATTTTAATGAATATTCTTAGGTATTAATATTTGTATGTATTTCTAATGATGTTCCTAAGATAACTTCCTGAAAGGAGAACTATGAGGTCAAAGGATATAGCTCTTGAAGTTTGTTGATATATATTATAAAATTCCTGCAGGAAATGTAAAAAAATATAATCCCAGCAGAATGTGAGAAGGCCTGCTTTCCTGTGCTCTCACCAACCTACATATTACCTGTCAACTTGATAGGTAAAAAATTTGTCTTATATTTAAAATTTGTATGTCTTTGAATACTAGTGAGGTTGAGGATTTATTCCTTTGCAAAACATGTATTTTTTGTCATTTGCTCATTTTGGTGGTGTATTGATTCCTTGTATACCTTTTTTTTTTTTTTTTTTTTTTTTTGAGACAGGGTCTTACCCTGTCACCCAGGCTGAAGTGCAGTGGCGCGATCTTGGCTCACTGCAGTCTCTTCCATCCGGGCTCAAGTGATTCTCCCATCTCAGCCTCCTGAGCAGTAGCTGGAACTGCAGGAGTGTGCCACCATGCCTGGCCAATTTTTTTGAATTTTTGTAGAGACAGGGTTTTGCCATGATGCCCAGGCTGGTCTCAAATTCCTGGACTCAGGCGATCTGCCTGCCTTGGGCTCCCAAAGTGCTGGGATTACAGATGTGAGCCACCACTACAGGGCCGTTGTTTCTTTTTAATAATGGCTTTATTGAGACATAGTTCACTTGCTATAGAATTCCCCCCTTAACCATCCTCAAGCCCCTTTTAGCCACTAATCTACTTTTTGTCTCTGGATTTACCTATTCTTGATGTGTTACAGAAATGGAACCATGCAATATGTTTTCTTTCACTTAGTGTAATGTTTTCAATAGGTTTCATCTGTTGTAGCATGTATTATTTTATCATTTCTTTTTATTGCCAAATATTTTATTTTATGAATATACCACATTTTATTTATCCATTCATTAATTGGTGGACATTTGGGTTGTGTCTACTTTTTGGATGAATAATGCTGTTGAACATTCACATACAGGTTTTTGTGTAGATATGTGTTTTCCATTCTCTTGGGTATATACCTAGCAGTGGAATGACTGAGTTGCATGGCACCTCCATATTTAACATTTTGAGGAACTGCCAAACTGTTTTTGAAAAACAATTTCAAAGTGGCTTCACTATTTTACAATTTCACCAGCAAGTTTGAGGCTTTCTATTTCTCCACATCCTCACTAATGGTTATTACCTGTCCTTTAGTTTTAGCCATTCTGATAGGTATGAAAGTATCATTGTAGTTTTGATTTGTGTCTCCCTAATAACCATCTTTTCATGTGCTTGTTGACTATTTGTATATGTTTGGAGAAATGTCTGTTCATATCCTTTGCCTGTTTTTTAATTGGGTTGTTTATCTTTCGATTGTTGAGTTATAAGTGTATTTTATATATTCTGGACACCAGTCCCAGTCCCTTCTCAGATATATGATTTGTAAACATTTTCTTCCATTCTTTGGGTTGTCCTCTTACTTTCTTGATGATGTCCTTTTTTTTTTTTTTTTTTGAGACGGAGTCTCACTCTGTCACCCAGGCTGGAGTGCAGTGGCTCGATCTCAGCTCACTGCAAGCTCCGCCTCCTGGGTTCACAGCATTCTCCTGCCTCAGCCTCCCGAGTAGCTAGAACTACAGGCACCCGCCACCACGCCTGGCTAATTTTTTGTATTTTTAGTAGAGATGGGGTTTTCACCGTGTTAGCCAGGATGGTCTCGATCTCCTGACCTTGTGATCTGCCTGCCTCAGCCTCCCAAAATGCTGGGATTAGAGGCGTGAGCCTTTTAAGCACAGAAGTTTTAATTTTGATGAAGTCCAATTTATGTAAGTCATGTGCTGCATAATGATGTTGTGGTCAGTGATAAACACATACACAACAGTGGTCCCAAGAGATTATAATACTGTATTTTCACTGCACTTTTTCTATGTTTAGATATGTTTAAATACACAAGTACAATTTTGTTACAGTTGTTACAGTATTTAACAGTAACATGCTACACAGGTTTGTAGCCAAGGAGCAATTGACTATACCATGTAGTCTAGGTGTGTAGTAGGCTGTACCACCTAGGATTGTGTAAATACATAATGATGTTTGTACATGACAAAATCACCTAGCCATGTCTTTGTCAAAAAATATTGTTAAGTGGCGTATGACAGTATTTTTCCTTTTGTTTCTTGTGCTTTTGGTGTCATATGTAAGAAATCATTGTCTTATTCAAGGTCATAAAAGATTCACTCTTGTGTTTCCTCCTAAAAGTTTTATAGTTTTAGCTCTTACATTTAGATCTATGACCTATTGTTTGTTAATTATCATACAGTTGTTCCTCAGTATCTGTTTGGGATTGGTTCCAGGAACGCTTGTAAATTCATAGATCTGTGGATGCCTAAGTCCCTGATATAAAATGGCATAGTATTTGAATATTGAATATAACCTAGTACATCCTCCTATATACTTTGTCATTTCTAGATTACTTATAATGCCTAATACAACGTAAATAGTTGTTATACTGTATTTTAAGAATATGCAGTTTAAAAATTGTTATATTGTTATTTTTTCTGAATATTTTCAATCCACGTTCCAATCCACGGTTAGTTGAATCCACAAATGTGGAGCCCGTGGAGACAAAGGGCTAACTGGATATGGTGTGAAGCTGGGGTCCAGCTTCATTCTTTTGCATTCCGTTTGCATGTTGATCCAATACCATTTTTGAAAAGACTATTCTTTCCCATTGAATGGTCTTGACATCCTTGTCAAAAGTCATATAGTTATCTTTTAACTTTTCATTTGGCTACTTTACCAAATTCTCTTTTTTAAATTTTTTATTATGAAAATTTTCAAATGTATGGACAAGTAGAAAGAGGCTAATATAATAAATACCCATACACATGGCATCTTGATTTAGTAATTAATATTTTGACAAATTTGCTTCATACACATACATACACATCTAAGTACCTTAACATTTCTGACACCTAATGTTTCACACTAAAATACTTCAGTGTGTTATCTCTAAGAATTAAGGAGATGTTTCCTATTTAATTCCAATACTATTACCACATGTAACAAAATTGTCAGTAATTCCCAAATATCATCTAAAATATCTACTCCACATTATATTTCCCCTATTGCCTTACAAAATGGTATTTTTTAAGCTCTGTTATTGAAACCAGAATCCCGCCAAAGACCATTGTATTTGGTAATGATGTATCTTATGTTATCTGGAATGGCAAACAACCCCACCTCCCTCCCTTCTTCCTGATGAATTTGACTTGTTAAAGAGACAGGGTATTTATCTTGTAACATTTCCTATCTTCTGAATTTGCCCCATTGCATCTGGATGTCATTTACCTTATTTCTTTATCTCCTGTATTTCACATAACCTGGAAGTTAGATTTAAAGGGCTGATAAGATTCCAGTTAAATATGTTTGGCAAGAATACTTTATAGATATTGCTATGTATTTTATATTGCATCAGGGGCACGTAAAGTCTGGTGGCCTCATTCTCAGTATGCTGAAATTGAGCACTTGGCTAAGAAGCTGACAACCTAATCATTCCTTTGTGAAGATTTTTGTTTTGCTTTTCCCTTGAACAAGTAATCTGTGGGTGGATATCAAGTAAAATCATTATTCTTTTTGGTCCTCGAAGTATATCTATCTTACCTTTGGCCAGTGGGAACTCTTTTAAGTTGGTTCCTGTGTCCTTTTGTTACAATCCTTTAGCATTTGAAAGTTTCCTTGTATTTTGACACAAGATGGTTCAGGCTCATTTTTATAAATTTCTTATCCCGGACCTGGAATCAGCCATTTTTCAAGGAGCCCTAATACCTGCCAGTGGACAGTGGTGTTTACAGACCATGATCTGGATGCTAGGACTTCTCAGCTGATTCTTTCGGAAATTTCTCAAGACATAATAGATAAATAATGGTAGTTTTAATTCCCCTTTTCAAGTAACCATAGCTTGTTTTTTCTTTTTGTCTTTTGCATTAGATAAAATTTCTGAAGTCATATTTCTGTAGTTCCTTATGCTGTTGCATACTTTAATTGTCTGTGCCTCTAGTGTTTAACCTCAAGTATGAGGTAGGATTTCAGTGAGATAATAGTGTTTATTATGTTAATGGTGTATCCTATTCTTAGATTACTAGCATTTATGAAATTACCTCCTTTGAATTATTGAAGTCATAAATTACATCAATAGGTTTTCAATATACTGATGCATTTCTGAACCCTGGTCAGTTCATAGTGTATCATTCTTTTATTCTACTGCTGATTTGCTGTGCTAGAATTTTACTTAGGGTCATTTGTCCGGATGCCATATTGCTTTGGAGAAACATGAGATCCCTACTGTTACTCACCTGGACCACGCCACGTGCCATTGCACTTCCAAGTGTCTGCCCTAGGAACTTCTAATTTAGTATTTGAAGTCACTGTTTGTTTCCTTTGTCAAAGAAATCTTGGTACACATGGCATATCTTTTTCACACAGCAGTCATGGAGCAGTTACCTGATATACTTTTTAAAATTAAACTTTTTATTTTAGAATAGTTTTTAGTTTACAGAAAGGTTCCAAGAATAGTAGAGAATTTCAGACCCAGGTTCCCCTGTTGTAAACATCTTAAAATATACTATGGTACGTTTGTCACAACTAGTGAATTAATATTGATACTGAATCAATATTGAATTTATTGTTATTAAAGTCCCTACTTTGTTCAGATTATCTTAGTTTTTTTCTAATACCCTTTTTCTGTTCCAGAATCCCATCCAGTTTACAAATCACATTTAGTCATCATAATTTCTTAGGTTTATCTTGGGTGTGATGTTTCTCAGACTTGACTTGTTTTTGATGACCTTAACAGTTTTGAGAAGTACTAGTTGTATATTTGGTAGAATGTCTTTCAACTTGTTGTGTGTTTGGGGAGAAAAACCCCAGAAATAAAGTGCCATTCTCATCACATCATATCGAGAGTATAGGCTATTAAGATGATTTGTTTTGTTTGTTTTTTTGAGATAGTGTCTCATTCTGTCACTTACGCTGGAGTGCAGTGGCACAAGCACGGCTCACTGCAGCCTCGACCTTCCCAGGCTCTGGTGATCCTCCCACCTTTGTTTCCCCAGTAGCTGGGACTACAAGCGCAAGCCACCACGGCTAGCTAGTTTTCGTATTTTTTGTAGAGATGAGGTTTTGCCATGTTGCCAGGGGGTTTTGCCATGTTGCCAGGGCTGGTCTGGAACTCCTGGGCTCAAGTGATACTCTCACCTCAGCCTCCTAAAGTGCTGGGATTACAGGCAGTGAGCCACTGTGCCGGCCATGATTTGTCAGTGATGATGCTAATCTTCATCACCTGGCTGAGGTAGTACTTGTCCATTTTCTTCACCATAAAATTATACTTCCTCCCCTCTTACCCATACTCTACTCTTTAGAAGAAAGTTACTATGCAGAGCCCACACTTAAGGATCAGGAGGTATGCTCCACTTCTTTGAGAAAGAAGTATCACATAAATTATGTACAGTCCTTTTATATGGCAAATTTGTTCATTCTCCCCTATTTATTAATCATTTATTTATATCAGTATGGACTCATGGATATTTATTTTACACTATGTGTCATAATCCAATAAAACATTATTTTTTTGCTCAAATTGTTCTGAGTTTAACCATTGGGAACTCTTTCCAGTGACTCTTCTGTTCCTTTGCCATGCCCCTGTCATTTGTTTTTAAGCAATTTCTTATTTTCTGGCACTACAAAATGCTCTGGGCTCTTTCCCTGTCCCATTCCTAGAATCAGCATTTCTCCAAGGAGCCCTTACTGATGTGCTTTTGATTTGTCTGGAGGGTGACTACTACCTCTTTGAGGTGCCTCCTGGGACCCTCAAAATATTAACTTTTATACTCTGTGTAGCCTGTACTTTAAGCCAGAACATTCAAAGTACACTGAAGAAATGTGTTGAAAATCTATGCAACCATTTTCGCATTATGTACTAGCAAATAAACAATCTTTAATTTCTGGAATTTTCCATTTTCCTCAGTGATATTGTTGATTGATTTGTAGTTTTCTTTCTTTGCTAGGTTTCAGTATCAGGGCTGTACCAATTTTTTTCTTAATTTAATATAACTTTATTTTTTTGAGACAGGGTCTCGCTCTGTTGCCCAGGCTGGAGTCCAGTGGCGCGATCTTGGCTTACTGCAACCTCTGCCTCCATGGTTCAAGCGATTCTCCTGCTTCAGCCTCCCAAGTAGTTGGAATTATAGGAATGCTCCACCACACCCAGCTAATTTTTGTATTTTTAGTAGAGATGGGGTTTCACCATGTTGGCCAGGCTGGTCTTGAACACCTGACCTCAAGCGTTCCTCCCTCCTTGGCCTCCCAAAGTGCTGGGATTACAGGTGTGAGCCACCGCACCTGGCCTGTGCCATCTTTATGAAGTGAATTATGAAGCTTTCCAATCTTTTTTATTTTGTAGAACAGTTTAAATACACAACAATATACTAAGTTCTTAGATTGAAGCTGTTTTTAAATCACAAAGACAGTATATGTTTACTGTATAAAATTTCAAAAATCCCAATAAAAGAAAAAAAAGAATTGAAAGTTCAGCCATGCTTGTACCATTCCACAGGTTCATATTTTTAAGAACATATTAAATGTTACCTATTTTTCATAATAATGGTAACAACTACAACCAACAGTTGTTGAGCTCTGTTGTGTGTTGAAAAATCTCTGAACTGAGAGTCAGAAAACCTAGATCTTAATTTACGTTATTCACCTCAAGTTTTGTGGGCCTCCGTCTTCAGTCCTAGAATTGACATCCAATGTCCCTACTGGTTCTAAGTTTGCTTATTTTATTTCACACAAAAATAATCTCATTGCTTTATTTGAAGGATGGCACCAGATTTCATTTCTTGTATCATGCTTTTCCTCTTGTCCTCTCTGTGCCTTGTGCTAGCCTGTGATGCCTTCATTGCTCCCTTGTACCCCTTCTGCTGACTTCATGTCTGCCCTGCTAGACTCTGCACCCCACCTGCTGGCTGTTGAGGCTCAGTGGTGGTGTCCTGGATGTGCCATGTAGTTCAAGGGTAAACGTAGGTCAAACAGGTGGACTAAAGCACATGCAGTCCAGCATGATTAAAGCAATATCGTGAAGGTAGTCAACTGTTAGAAACTACTATTGGACATACTCAAATGTTTTAATGCACAGAAAAAAAAATTTTGATAGTCATAAAAGTTTAGGATTAAAAACAACTTATATATAACTTTACTTCAAAAGTGCTTTATTCTATTAATCTCATTTATTTCTGACAAAAATTCTGGAATTAAGTGTTCTTGAGGAAACTGAGTCTCAGGGAGGTAACATGATTTAAGGTAACATTAAATGGCAAATCTACAAATCAAACCAATTCTTGTCTTTTATGTAATACCAGCATTCTTTAACTAACCACATCATACTTGCATATAGAGAAAATATTTCACAAGTTTAGACATTTCCGAATTTATGTAGCTCTTTTTGTGTTAAAATGTAGTCATTTGAAGATATATATATATATATATATATATATATATATATATATATATATATATATATATCCAGCACCTCCTGTGATTTGAAATATCAGTGTTATTTTGGGGATAATGTTAACAGTATTATATCGATTCTTTGAAATGTAGCAACTGAGGGCAAAATATCTAAGTACTTTGAATTTTGATAAAAGACAGTGAATGCCACTCAGCCCAGGTTAAAGTATTAGCCCAGATTAAAGACTACAATGTTGCAGTGCCTTTGAGTGCTACCAGGTGGCGTGAGTGCACCACACAACTGTTCCTGAAATATTTATGATTTTTGGCATAAACTCCATATAGTTATTGAACATTAAAATGTTAATGTTAATGTGAGTTTTAAATTAATGTGAATGTGATCTTACATTACACGTTGCAGTAATGATCAGCTTTGCTGCCTTTTTTTGGACCACTTCTTATATAAAAAGCTAGAATACTTTAAGCTTTTGAAACTTTTAAATTTATTGTTAGACATTATTATGATTTCATTGAAGGGAGGTTTAAAAAAGGCAAAATCACAACATTCTCACTATCCTAATGTAAAAACTATTTATTTTTCTCTCCCTGTTCCCTCTTATACATGCATATGTGCATATATTTGTGTATTCATAATCATAATAAAGGTATATTTTATTTTTTGTAAAAAATTCTTCATATTGGTTTTAATCAGAGTATAAAATGGCTTATTTTATCTGTCAAGTCAGTAACCTGGTAGTTGATACATTCTCTTTCCAGAAAACTGTGGTGATTCACATTGTCTAATTGAGAGTTAATAGTCAGTATTCATATTACTTGAGTTGTTTTTAAGAGTGCATTTATATTTATCTATTTTCTCTACTTCAAATACAAAATACAAAAATTCACAGTGCTTTAAAAAACAATATATCCTCCCTTTTAAAAATTTATGTATTCATTCAGCAAATATTTGTTGCATGCATTTTAAGTGTTAAGCCATTGCCAAGAACGAGATAGCATCATTCTTACCCTCAAGGGTTTCAAATCAGTGGGGAAAAAATGGGAAAATAAATAGGCTACTATACTGTGATGTCTTGAGGGAAGTGTACAGAGTTATTGAAGCTACAGAAAACCAAATAGATTTCAAAATCCTATTTAGCTTTTTTTCTTCTTGATATAGTTACAGCTCTTTTTTATTCTTAATGCTCTCCATAGAAGATTAACCTATACTTTACCTTATTTAACTGTATTCTGGTGTGTAACCTAACCTATCTTCTTTTTTTTTTTTTTTTTGAGGCAGAGTTTTGCTCTTGTTGCCCAGGCTGGAGTGCAATGGCGCGATTTCAGCTCACCAAAACCTCCGCCTCCTGGGTTCAAGTGATTCTCTTGCCTCAGCCTCCTGAGTAGCTGGGATTACAGGTATGCGCCACCACACCTGGCTAATTTTGTATTTTTAGTAGAGATGGGTATCTCCGTGTTGGTCAGGCTGGTCTTGAACTCCTGACCTCAGGTGATCCGCCCGCCTCGGCCTCCCAAAGTAATGGCATTACAGGCATGAGCCACCGTGCCTGGCCTATCTTCTTGTATCAAATGTATTCATCTCTAGATAATACCTTTAGCCCATGCCCTTATTCTCTGCAAATTAAAAATTGTGTTCATTTGTTCTAGCACTTCCCAAAATATGTCTAAGGAAGACTACTGTTGTGAACCGTTCCTTGAAAAGTGGAATCTGACGTCAAATAAATTTGAGAATCATTGCATATTAACCCTGCATTTTGAAATTTCAAGATGCTTATTAGCATATTATCTGTTCTAAAAAATGCTACCTTAAAAAACCCAATTTACCTCGGCATTTCCTAAACATTTTCAACAGAAAGAGCCTTTTAAAAAAATTCTTCTTAGCCTGTGGGAGTAGTGTTAACATTTTGAGAAACGTTGAGCTAAATGAATTTTTCAATTGTTTTGATCCTTCCCTGATGCTGTATTCCAGCTTCCATGAGATATCTGTAGCTTTTAAAAAAAGCTTGTTGCAGTGATACAAGTCTCATAATTGCATGGTAGAACTTGTAATGATGCAAGTCTCATAATTGCATGATAGAAATTTCTTAAAGCCCTTATGTTTTATCTATTTATTTCTATATTCCAACTTAACTAACGCTAATTGAGTTTAATTCTATTAGTGCTACTCGTAAGCACCATAATTTCATTTATTTAACAGATATGTCGTTAGTTCTTTCAGGGAAGGCATTAATGCCCAGAACTTTCAAAGAACTTCAAACAGTATGTTGCCTTCCCTTTTTCTGTTTCCATGAGTAAGATCAGGGTTTATAATATGTCCCAACTGCTTGCTCTGTATAGAAAGGAGTTTGGAAAGCTTTCTTTTTAGTGGATTTAATGTTAATAGGAATAACATTGCTACCTTTTTTTCACTAAACAATTATATGAAATTATTTTTTCAAATAACTTTTCTTATTTTTAAGGTAAAGCTTTCCAGTTTGAATTTAGATGATCACGCAAAGAAGAAATTAATTAAACTTGTAGGAGAGCGATACTGCAAGACCACAGATGTGCTTACCATCAAAACAGATAGGTAATGGAAAAAATGTTCAGCCGACTGGTCACGTGTGTTTCCTCATTGTCCTCCAATTCCTTGGCAGTCCTTTTTAAAGAAACTATATTGAAGATGGGGGAGGGCGTAGCCTTTTCTTATTAAGCAGAGTTCTCTAATTCATATTTTTAATATCCTCACACTGGCCTACTATTGCTGTGATCTTTATGCAGCGGCATGCTTAGCTAATTTAATGTTATTTTTAACCTTGATTTTAATATTTCCATGTATATAAAACTCAAGAGAGAGATTAGAAGAAAAAAGTGTGGTTTGCTAGTGATTAATGCTTAAGCAGGCTTTTACACATTCAAAGCATATAAAAATCTTGTAGTTCAAAAGTAAAATTATTAAATGATCTATGGATCTATTTGGAAATTGATGAAGGCACATTCGTAAATAATCAAAATCTCAGAGCCAGGACAGATGTTTATAAAGGCAATATTAAATTTATCATATATGAATTTATAAATTGCGTCATTTTTTATTTGAAGTAAAGAAAGGTTATTGGTATGTTTTCACTAAATGGCTATTTTATTTTTAGAATTATACTTTAGCTGTTTCCAAATTATGTCAAAATATAAAAAGACCCACTTTTAGAGATAAGTTAAGTGGGCCGATCTGCTGTCTTCCTGCTCATCCCTGTTTGAAAGCATTTGGAGGTGTCAGTATCGATTAGGTCTCATGATTTGCAGTGGTGGGAAGAAGGAGCCTGACACACATGCAGAGATTGCAACAGTGTGGAGGCAGAAAAAGCTCAGGACCATGGTTTGTGATTATTACCATATGGGAGAAAGTAGATTTGAAATATATTAGGAATAGTCTTTTTACTATCTTCAGATAATGTTGGCTTTTCTAGTTCATGCAACTTTAAAAAATGCCTTTAAAATGTTATTGTTTGAAATTCTGTGAGTATCCAATAATGTTGCTTTTTTTTTTTTTAGGTAGTTTTACAAGTGTTAGTGTATGGATATGTTTTATGGTAACTATTTAGAGTAGAGGACTTAAATAAATATAAGTACAGAATAAGCAGTATAGTTGAAGTTATTTGTCATATGATGGTTTTATTTGATATTTAAAGAAATTGGAAGTAATCGTATCTTTCTGTATATTATTTTATTATCCTTAAAGCTCAATGTGTCATCTCATGTATGTAGAAGTTTTACCTAATTTTAAGTTATTAGTTCCATTTTAAATACAGCAGCAACAGCACAGCATTGTATAGTGTAACTCATTTTTAAAAGAATCAGCTCTAGGAAAACCAAGATTAACATCTATCATCTTTCTATATCTACTTCTTATTTTTATTTTTAAATTTTTTTAGAGATTGAGTCTCACTCTGTCACCCAGGCTGGAGGTCAGTGGCACAGTCATAGCTCACTGAAGCCTTGAACTCCTGGGCTTATGCAGTCTCCTGCCTCAGTTTCCCAAGTAGCTAGGACTACAGGTGCGCATCACCATGCCTGGCTAATTTTTTAATTTTTGTAGAAACAGGGTTTTTGCTGTGTTGACCAGGCTGGCCTCAAACTTCTAGCCTCAAGCAACCCTCCCACCTCACCCTCCGGGATTACAGGCATGAGGTACATGCCTAGCTCTATGTCTACTTTTTAGATGAACTCATCAGATATGTTCATGCTATCTGGCAGATTCTTAGCACTGAGATGGTGAAGGGAACTTATATTGGACACAATCCTAGTAAAAGTAGCGTAAGCTATTGTTACATACAGATAACTCCATTAGTAATGAAAACAAAGAGATACTCGAAATTAAGTTAAAATAACACCGGTGTTTAGCTTCCTCAAGTAATGAACTACAAAGACTATTTTTATTCCAAAAACAGTTTTCCTAAAGCAGAAAAGGAATACCTGAAAACATTATCTTCTGTATTTAGTATATTGCATATTTTGCAAATTTTTCTGTGTACTGAGTTTTTAGAATTTTGACTTCTCCCGCTTTCTCTTTAATAGGTGCCCTTTAAGGAGGCAGAATTACGATTATGCAGTGTATCTACTAACAGTGTTATACCATGAGTCTTGGGTAAGTGTGTGTGAATATTTAATGATTTTGTCATTGTAATTTAGATGATGTTAACCTTTCAAAATACTCTTTGTGGCAAGTACTCAACTGAGTATTTTGTGAACTGCTGAATAATCTAAGTATGTATGAAATGTCATAGGTAGCTTCTACTGACTTTAAAAGTAAAGGTCTTGAAATAGGATTATTCAGTTCATCTCAGGACCTTGCTAAAATCATATTCCTAAAATGCCTTGAAACTTCAGAGTTTTTGACTTTGTTTTTCTTTTTTTGACTTTGGGTGAAAGTTGTCAGCTATGAAGAGAATAATAATTATCTGTATAATTTGAGAATTTATAATTCATCCTCTTTAAATAAACTGCAGAGCAAAACTTTATAGAAAGGTATTTTAAATGTTTATTGAAATTTTTAGTTAACACATAACATTTTGTGTGAACATTTGACTGTTATGCATTAGGTAGAACTAAGGGCAATTAATTATAGCTTGAGTATTCTTTTTCCAAAATGCTTGGGACCAGAAGTGTTTCAGACTTTAGATTTTTTCAGATTTTGGAATATTTGCATATTAATATATAATGAGATATCTTGGGGAGGGGACCCAAGTCTAAACAGGAGATTCATTTATGTTTCATATACACTTTATACACATAGCCTAAAGGTAATTTTACACAATACTTTCAGTAATTGTGTGCATGAAAATTTTGACCGTGCTCCATCACATGAGATCAAGTGTAAATTTTCCATTTGTGTGTCATATCAGTGTTCAAAAAGTTTTGGATTTTCAAGCATTTCAGATTTTAGATTTTCAGATTAGTAATGCTAAACCTGTATTTAAATAATATTAAAAATACTCGAGTCTGAATTTAGAGAGTTTTCATGTAAGTATGTACATTTATAAGGAAGATTTTGCCATGCTTGAGCAACACCTCATCTGATTTGAAGTTGGTAGCCAATATGTTTAGGTAACTCAAAGTTTGAAACAGTAATTTTTAAAATTAAAATAATTATAGGTATGCATTTAAATTAAATTTTTTGTGCCTTACCCAACACAGGGGACTCAATAGCATTTCATACTAGGAACATTCAAAGGAATAAAGTTAGCTGGAGAAGGGGGTCATGTTCTTTAGAAAGGACTTCATATGTCAGTGTCTACAGAAACAGTGAAAAAAGGAAAAAGAAGTAAAGAAAAATAGAAAAAATAAAAGTTTTCATATGGAAGAGGGCTTACATTTGTTTTTAATGACTCTTAGAGATACAACAAGGTAGCGACAATAGTAAGACAGAGACAGACTTTGGTTTACTGAGAACTTTTTTTTTTTTTTTTTTAAAGTCTCACTCTGTTGCCCAGGCTGGAGTGCAGTGGAGCGATCTTGGCTCACTGCAACCTCCGCCTCCCAGGCTCAAGTTATTCTTCCCGAGTAGCCAGGATTACAGGCATGCACCACTACCGCCTGGCTAATTTTTGTATATTTAGTAGAGACAAGGTTTTGCCATGTTGGCCAGGCTGGTCTCGAACTCCTAACCTCAGGTGATCCACCCGCCTCGGCCTCCCGAAGTGCTGGGATTACAGTTGTGAGCCACCATGTCCAGCCCTCCCAAGGGGAACTTTGTGAGAGAGCCATCATAAGATGCAATGAGCTACTTCAGTAGGTAGAAAACATTCCATCCATCGGCCACTTAGTGAAGATAGGCAAAAAAAATATACTCCTTGAATAGGTAGTTAAATTCCATGGCCTTTGGAACCTCCTTTCAGCCCAAGTTACTGTGATTCTGTGAATACATGCAGCTGTTCTCTAAACTGCTCACAGCTTTTCCTTCATATTATGATAAAAGAGTTTTCACACAAGAGGATGAATGGAAAGTGAAAGAAAAAAACTTGGTTGTGAGATGAGTAAAAGACAAAAAGTAGCTGGTAAGCTCTTCTCTTCTTTACAATTATTTCCATTATTATAATTTATCTGGATTTTCTAGTTCTGGCTTTAAGAGCAACATCAGAATAGCAGTTAATCTCTTTCCTACACAATTGATTTTAGAAATGCTGTTGGCTTAAGATAATTAAGTTTTCTTTTGAACCAGCAACATGGCTGAATTAGCTACAGCTTTATGGCTGTTGCTGCTTAAAGATTTAATAACTAACAATAAATACAACCCGTTTTGACTTTCTTATTTTGCCAGTATCTATTAGAATGAATTTGCCCAGAAGGAAATGATAGGCATAAATTCAGTGGAAGTTGATTTATGGGATTCTTTCTGTGGTTCCGTGACTTAGAATCCAAACAGGGTTGCATTCTGGATTCACACAGAAGCCTTTGATCTTTAGTGCTGATTACTTTGATGCCAGGATAAGTAGCCACATACAACTGTCCAAACAAGTATACTTGAAGAATTCTATATTACCGTTGTTTCTTGGTGCTTTCTAAACAAGTACCATCAGTGAAGAAGATTTTGAATACAGATGAGCCGTGAAATTTTGCGGAGCTGCTAGAAAAGAATTTTTATTGAATTGAAATTCATTTTCCCTCACCAACATGGAATTCATACTTGAAATTGATGTTATCACCGTTATTTAATCAAATAGAGAGCCTCTTTTTAATCCATTGCTTGATTTTTTTTATAGGCTAGCTTCTGAGCATTTAATACCCAAATATATGCTTCCTTTGGCTTTTTTTTTTTTTTCTTCGAGTCAGGGTCTTGCTTTGTTGTCCAGGCTGGAGTGCAGTGGTATGATCATGGCTCACTGCAGCCTTGGCCTCCTGCGTTCAAGTGACCCTCCCACCTCAGCCTCCTGAATAGCTGGGACTACAGGCGCATGGCACCATGCCCAGCTAATTTTTGCATTTTTTTTGTAGAGATGGGATTTCACTGTGTTGTCCAGGTTGGTCTTGAACTCCTGGGCTCAGGCAATCCATTCACCTTGGCCTCCCAAAGTGTTGGATTATAGGCATGAGCCACTGTGCCCTGCCTTCCCTTGGCTTTTTAACCTTCCCCTAGAGGTTACCTCTAAGTAGCACTGAGGGGAAAGTAGCTGCTAATTTTATGTAGCTTGTAGTACTGAAATCCCTCTGGAGAAGTGATCACCTAGACTCCAGTAGAAGGATATTACTGTTGTATACTATTCAAAACAGTTTAACTATAGAAGTGTCAAAGTAGATTTCAGTAAGCATAGACATCGCAAAGCCTAAGCTTCAGGCATAAAGGCTTAATACTGCCTCAAAGAATAATTATTTCAGTGCTGGGAAGGTGATAAGAGACACATATTCACTGGACCATTCATTTATCCTTCAGCAGTTTAAAGAAGCAAGGAGGCTGGGAGCACTTTGGGAGGCAAAGGCAGGCGGATTGCCCGAGCTCAGGAGTTCGATACCACCCTGGGCAACATGATGAAACCCCGTCTCTACTAAAAATACAAAAAATTAGCCAGGCATGGTGGTGGGTGCCTGTAGTCCCAGCTACTCGGGAGACTGAGGCACAAGAATCGCTTGAACCCGGGAGTCGGAGGTTGCAGTGAGCCAAGATCGCACCACTGCACTCCAGTCTGGGCGACAGAGTGAGACTCTGTCTCAAAAAAAAAATAATAATAATAATTAAAAAATAAGCAAGGAGAGTTGTAGAGATTTGGTGTCCTATTTTAGTATTACGTATTGTTAGCATTGGAATGAATTTTTAACCTTTGGAGCCAGACAGACATGGATTTGAATTCCAGGGCCATTACTTAGTACCTGTGTAATAGCCTCGACTATTTAACCTCTGAGGTTCAGTTTTTTCCTAAGGATTTTTGGATGGATCAGGGAGAATTTGTGTAAAGTGTCTGGCAAATAGTGGGCTCTCCATAAGCATCTATAAATAATGTTGATATTAACAATAATAAAATGAGGAAAGATTTTTTTCTTAGAATTTTAAATTCATGGTTTCCCAATTTCTATTAATATATACAGCTTATATTTAATTTGGCAGAGTTTGTACAAGTAAAGTCAGATCTATACTCTTTAGGATGTGTATCCTACTCACAATTTGACATAATTGATGATAACACAACTTCCTTAATTTTAACTTTTTAGTGATTTTTTAATAATTGAAACCTTCCGTAAATGATTAGGTTGAGAAATAATGAGTCAGTTTGCAAAGTGACTTGCACAAAAGATGAGCACAAATACTGGGGAAGAGAAAAAAAACAGTTGCTTTAGAAAAGTTAGAGATCTGAAATCAAATTTCAGAGATTCATGGGTGATTTTGATATTGAATTACTAATGGTTGCTTTTTTACATTTTAAAATTTCGGCTGTCTTATTTGGATTTCATGATAGTTTTATTGTCAGAACTATGTCTAGCTTTGTAATAAAATGGTTCTGAAAAGTCATGTAACAAAAATTTCTAATTTAGCCAAGCAGTGTTGCATTCCTGTAGTCCCAGTTTCTCTGGAGGCTGGGGCAGGAGGATCTGTTGAGCCCAGGAATTCGAGTCCAGCTTGGGCAAATAGCAAGACCCCCAATAAAAATTAAAAATTTCTAAGTTGGAGAATTTTATACTTACTAAGAGTTCGTTTTAAAGGGGACATTATTGCAGATATTTCTGATAAAAATGAATACTTTTGCAGAGCCATAATCACCATTTAATCTGTCGGATTTATGAGTTCATTTTGATTGTGTATGCCTACACACCTGCATTTCCACTGGAGAATGCTTGAGCAATGTTTGCTATGTTTGTTCTCTTTTGCATTCAACAACTATTTAGTTCTTGTGTACAAGATATGTTGCTAGGTGCCACTATCAAAATGAATGACCCCCTGCCTTAGGTACCTTGATTTCTGGAGGGAAACCGTTGGTTATAATATAATCTGTTGAGCTTAATGGAAGTAGGAACACAGTGCTGTGAGAGCCACAGACAAGGGTTAACTCCCCCTGAAAACGTCACAGGAATGATGATGGGTTTTAGAAGATGAACAGGAGTATGTGGTACAGAGTGGGTGAAGAACTTTCTAGGCCTTGTGGGTTTAAAGAGCAGGCAGAAGTTTGGTGTAGCCAGGGTATAGAACTAACAGGGCCAAGAAAGGAGGTGAGGCTAGCAGTAAGTCAGAGACAGGCTGTGAAGCTCGTCGTAGTGCTTATTTGCAAAATGTAGATTTGTAACCAGAGGGCAACATTGAGCTGATACAGTATTTTACTAGTTATTTGAAAAAGTACTTCTCACTATTTTTGTTTCATTTTATTTTATTTTGGGGGCTTGTGTGTGTGTGTTTTACTAGACAATTTTAAAAGTTTATTTTCTCTTTGAAGACTGAGTTTTGCTTTGTCACCCAGGCTGGAGTGCAGTAGAGCAATCATAGCTCACTGCATGCAGCCTCTACCTCCCAGGCTCAGACGATCCTCTCACCTCAGCCTCCCAAGTAGCTGGGACCACAGGCAAGTGTCACCATGCGGAGCTAATTTTTTTATTTTTTGTAGAGGTGAAGTCTTGCTCTGTTCACCACACTGTTCTCGAACTCCTGGGCTCAGGTGATCCTCCTGCCTCTGCCTCCCAAAGTGCTGGAATTACAAGTGTGAGCCACCACATCCAGCCCCCTCTCACTGTTTCACTGTTCGTGAAAGAGTAAACCATCCTGTGTCAAATATCAAGTGCACTTTCATTAAAAATGGCAAATGTTGGCTGGGCACGGTGGCTCACACCTGTAATCCTAGCACTTTGGGAGGCCAAGGCAGGTGGATCACCTGAGGTCAGGAGTTTGAGACCAGCCTGGCCAACATGGTGAAACCCCATCTCTACTACAAATATATAAATTAGCCGGGTGTGGTGGCGGGCACCTGTAATCCCAGCTACTTGGGAGGCTGAGGCAGGAGAATGCCTTGAACCCGGGAGGCAGAGGTTGCAGTGAGCCGAGATGGCGCCACTGCACTCCAGCCTGGGCAACAAGAGTGAAACTCCATCTCAAAATAAATAAATAAAATAAAATGGCAAATGTTTATTAATTGTCTATTTGCTTGGGTTGCTGGATATGAAAGTTAATAAATCGTGGGGAAACCATCGTCTCCAACTGAAGAACACTCTAGTGGGAGCAAGGAGGTGTAATAATAAATATCACAAAAGTGTTAAGGTTGTCTTAGTTTGAGCTATCATAACAAATTACCATAGATTGAGTGGCTTAAATGATAGAAATTTATTTCTCACAGTTCTAGAGGCTGGGGAGTTGATCAGGGCGCCAGCATGGTTGCATTAGGGTAAGGGCCCTCCTGGTTTGCAGATGGCTGTCGTCTTACTGTGTCCTCACTTGGAGAACAGAGAGAGAGGAAGGAAATTCCCTCCTGTCTCTATCATATTAAGGGTTGGGATTCCAATATCTGAATTTGGTGGGGAGACACAAACATTTGGTCTGTAGCACGGGTTCTATAATTTACCATTTCATTTTTAATTCTTCTCTACTTCTTCATTTCTTATGTATCTTTCAAGACTTCGACCTGCTTTGAGGCTGTTACTCTTTGTCTGACTTCTGCTTTGTATAGATATTAAGTTATTATGTCTTATTTTAATTTCTATGCTGGTCACTAGAACACCTGACTGCAGTTAGTTGTCTTAGTCATGGATTGTTCCATGTATGTTTTGTTTTTCTAACTTTAGGGCCTCATTAGCAGGGATCTGACCTATTGTAGTTTGTACTTCAAACTATCTAGGTCAGTGCTAGGTAAGAATACTAAATGTTTCATAGCAGCTATTGAGGCTGGGCGCGGTGGCTCACACCTGTAATCCCAGCAGTTTGGGAGGCCGAGGCAGGCGGATCACTTGAGGCCTGGAGTTGGAGACCAGCCTGGCCAACACAGCAAAACCTCATCTCTACTAAAAATACAAAAAAAAAATTAGGAAGTATTTTAAAAAGTATTTGAATTTTACATTACTTTGTAAGTTCTCCACAAATACTTGCTTCTGTGAGTTCAGTTCATGATGCAAATTTACAGTTGACAATGTTAATAGAATCTATATTCTAAAAAAAACTGGCTCTTCCTGGCAAGACGCATCTCTTTAACATGAAGCGTATGTTTTTATTTAGCACTTTTTGCATAAACTTACTGATGTTACAGTGTTTGTTAAACAACTAACTACACACATGCATTGAACTCCCATGAGTCCGAGCATTAGTGGTTGGCCAGTAATGGTAAAGTGTAACTACGTGCCACAGTTTTACTTGATTTCAGACAAATACATCTGGCCTTTGTTCTAAAAAGTGGACCTGTGATGTTGCTCTGAGAGTTAACTGGGTCTCTGTCTCTGACTTTGTTTTTTTTAACTCTGTGCTGCTTCAATGATCACCTTGCATTAACATAAAAAGGACACGAAAAAAGGGGTAAATTAGTTGTTCCATCTCTCCCCCACAACACACAGTGAGGCGGGGTCTCACTCTTTCGCCCAGACTGGAGTGCAGTGGCGTGATCTCGGCTCACTGCAGACTCTGCCTCCCAGGCTCAAGTGATCCTCCCGCCTCAGCCTCCCAAGTAGGACTACAGGTGTGCCACCACACCCCCAGCATGTTCCATCTTTTAAAAGTGCTTCAAAATACTTTGTCTTTTTTCTTTTTTTTAACACAAAGCATTTAGTGCAGCCATCCCTTTTAAATTAGGGCTAACTTTGAAGGTGAAGAATCAAACAGCTTATCTTATTATAGCCTTTTCATTTTATACACTGAGAAATTAAGATTTAGAGGAAAGGTCAGGTACTTTGCCCAAGGTTACAGAGCTTTTTAGTGGAGGAACTCAGACCTGAACTGCAGCTTCAGTGTATCATATTCTTTCCATGCTATCATATTATTTAGTTTTATTCAACTTTGACTTTCAAAATGTTATGAAATAAGAGATGAAATCAAATCTGACTTTAACTGCTAGTTTACTCTCCTTTCAAAATGAACAACTGACTAATTGAAAATTCATCTATCTCCATAACCTGTTTTCAGCTGGGGGTTGTATCAGTGCCACCTGGGAAGCTTTTTTTTTTTAAATTATACTTTAAGTTTTAGGGTACATGTGCACAACATGCAGGTTAGTTACATATTTATACATGTGCCATGTTGGTGTGCTGCACCCATTAACTCGTCATTTAACATTAGGTATATCTCCTAATGCTATCCCTTCCCCCTGCCCCCCACAACAGGCCCCAGTGTGTGATGTTCCCTTTCCTGTGTCCCTGTGTTCTCATTGTTCAATTCCCACCTATGAGTGAGAACATGCAGTGTTTGGTTTTTTGTCCTTGCAATAGTTTGCTGAGAATGATGGTTTCCAGCTTCATCCATGTCCCTACAAAGGACATGAACTCATCATTTTTTATGGCTGCATAGTATTCCGTGGTGTATATGTGCCACATTTTCTTAATGCAGTCTATCATTGTTGGACATTTGGCTTGGTTCCAAGTCTTTGCTATTGTGAATAGTGCCACAGTAAACATATGTGTGCATGTGTCTTTATAGCAGCATGATTTATGTGGAAGCTTTTAAAACTACAGATGCTTAGGCCCTGCAGAATCAGAATCTCTAGCTGTGAGACCCAGGTTTTGATAGTTTTAAAAGCTCCACAGGTGATTCTGGTGCTGAGCTCTGATTGTGAATAATTTCTCCAGTCTTTGAGTGTTGTAAATAAGGAAATTGATTAGGTTGGCTTGTCTTTTTTAAGACAGTTTTTGTACATGTAAGTTTGAGTATCCCTAATTTGAAAATCTGGTATCTGAAATGCTCCAAAATCTGCAACTTTTGAGCACTGACATGATGCTCAAAAGAGCGTTTCACATTTCAGATTTGGAATGCTCAACCAGTCAGTATAATGCAGATATTCTAAAATCCTTTAAAATATCGAAATCTGAAACACTTCTGATCCTAAGCATTTTGGATAAGGGATACTCAACCTATATCTAATATCAGAGCTTGAGGGTAAGGGGTGGTAATTAGAATGAAAGGGGCAGGCAAGGAAATGGAGGGATTTTTCTGTTGTCCATAAATAGGAATTTAGACTTGATGTGATAGACAATAGGCAGTGTTCTAGATCCCTGAGTGGGATGGTGCTACACAGAAGGTGACAAGCTCATACCTTTTTGCCTTCAGGCAGGACTTCATTTTATTATATACTTAAAAGACCTTTAAGAAAAACTCAGGTTCTCCTTCCCCACCCAGTGGCTGAAGTAATAAATTTGAGAGTTACAGTTTTCTTCCCTCTCTCCTGATACCAAATAAGTTACCAAGTCTTTCGGTTTTCGCTTTTAAATATCAGTTAAAGCTGTTTCCCCCTTTTTATCCCTACCGCTACAGTCTAGTATAAGTTTTCATCATCATTTACCTGAAAACTACAATAGGCTTCTAATTGATTTCCCTGTCTCATCTACCTTCTATATTACTGTTAGAGTAATTGTTCAAAAAAACAAGTCTCTTGTACCATATTCCTTTACAAAATCCTTCAGTGGTTTCCCATTACTTAGGATAAAGTCTGAACTCCTTAGCATGACATTCACAGCAATTTGCCACCTCATTACCAGCACTCAGGAAATATACATTATATAGCCTGTACTTTAGCCATAATGAACATAATATGTTCTTTCATAACTTTGCATATGTTATTCTCTTTGCGTATAATTCTTTTTTCAAATTGATCAGCCTTGCAAATTCATATGAATCTTTTAATACACCTCAGTTGTAACATCTCTGTTTCCTGCCCATCTGTTTTCCCTCCTCTAGTTAACATTCCTTTTATTACATATAATTGCCTGTATACGTGTCTGCTCACCCCATTAGACTGTGAGATCACTGAGGACAAGGAGTATATATTCATTCATCTTTATATTGCATTCAGTAAATTTGCATTCAGTAAATGTTTTTTAAAACTTAATTGAATTCTTTGACATAGTTAAAAATTTAGCTTTGGTAGCTGAAAGAATTGACAGTAATTCTTTTTTCACTTTTTATGAATATTTGCCTCTTCGTATTTTTTATGATTTTCAAATTGCTTGGGATTTTAAAAAATGGTTAAACTGTTTTCTCTCATACAGCACAAGGCCTTACTTGTAATCATGAGTAGTGGAATATTACTATGATTCATGTCCTAGGCAAAGAGAGTTGTAAATAAGAAGGTAGGAGGTGACAGGCTTGTGTGTTCAGTGGAGCAGATATTTCTTTGCCTTCTGTTACAACAGAATACATTGACCCTTGCATGAATTAGCTATTATGTTTTTCTTTGTATTACATTCATACAAGGAAAAAAAAAGAGGTTCAAGTTATGTTATTATATTTTTTGTTACTCCTTTTATCATGCCTCGAGGTTCCTTAGAACATGTTGTTCTAACACTAACGAGCAGTGTGGTTTTGGGCAAATTATTCAGTTGCTCTGGGCTTCAGCTGCCTGATCTGTAAAACAGGTGATAATAGTACTAACTCACTCCTAGGTTTGTTGTGAGAATTAAATGAGTTAATACCTGTAAGGCACTTAGAATAGTGCCTGGCATGTAGTGAGTGTTCCAACAGTTTTTCAGCCTCAGCCCATGCCACTTCCTTCTCATTGGCCTTCATTCATTTCCTCGATTGTGTTAAGCCCTTTCCGGCTTCAAGGCCTTTGTGGATGCTTCTCCTCTACGGGGATCACAATATTCATCTGACTGGCTCACAGTCAACTTCAAGTCTCTCATTAGACTGAATGTTCCCAGAGAACACTATGCCTGGCAGAATAGTTGTGCAATAAATATTTATTGAATGAATAAGTAAATGAATAATGGAGCCAACTGGAAAAGAGAACAGGATCACATGGAATGGAAAATTGCTTCTTCAGGGGTTGGGGGTCAGGGCAGATTCTCATTGCAGGCAGGAAGAAAAAGAAAAGTGGTGTGTGTGTGTGTGTGTGTGTGTGTGTGTGTGATCCATATTTATAAATTAAATGGTGAAATTGTAAATATTTAATGGTCAAAGCATTAAAATAGGAGTCGACAAATTAATTGAATTCTTTGCCTAAGTGATGATCAGTTTGAGCTTAAAATGGTATTTTTAATTGCCCCCAGTAATTTGAATATGCTGTTGTTTGTGCTTTAAAATTAATATATTCCAACTACACTTCAATAAAATAAATTTTTTTTGTGTGACAAGGTCTGGCCCTGTCACCCAGGCTGGAGTGCAGTGGTGTAATCTCGGCTCACAGCAACCTCAGCCTCTTGGGCTCAAGCAATCCTCCCACCTTAGCCTTCTGGCTACAAAAAAAAACTGAAACAGCTAATGACTTCAATGCTGGGTGTGGTTTTAGGAGCTAAAATGTTGATAGTAGGAGCCAGGCATGGTGGTACCCGTCTCTAATTCCACCTACTTGAGAGGTGAGGTGGGAGAATCACTTGAGCCCAGGAGTTCAAGGCCAGCATGGGCAACATAGTGAGACTCCACCTCTTTGAAAAGGAATTGATAGTGAACTATAAGTCAGGGCACAAAATTGTAAATAAAATGTAATCATAGCAGGGTTTTAAAAAACGGATTTAAGATGTACACCAAGTGTTACCAGTGTTAATGGGCCATCTTTGGGTAACAGAATTATGGATGATTTTTTTTTTCTTCTACTTTTTAGTAATTTCCATCTTTTCTATGAAGATGTATTTAAAATTGCAACCTGCTGATACTATATCAGAATTCAATTCTGGATTATTATTCCATTAGTATTAACCTCCTATTTTTAATATGACACTGAACTTTCGCTAAAAGACCAGGAAGTTAAAAGTGTTAAGGAAACTTACCAAAAAAAAAGCCATTTTAAGTCACATATACATAAACATTTCAAAATTGTTATTTTTAATTAAACATCTTGGAAAGATACTGCTTATTTGCAAATAGTATGGAGTCAGTGACAAAGAAATAAAGACCTCTTGTTTCTGTATATTTTATCTAATTTTGTAAATATCACTATATGATTTTGTGAGTGGGAATAATATAGTGAAACATTTGGACAGTTGTGTATTTACATTTACCTTCGAAGTTTTAGTTTACTGCTTCATAGTGGTGGTGGAATACATGTCATGTACATTTTGAAGCCATTCTGCAGGTTTGTGGAACCCCTTACTCCCAATGCTTCGCCTCAAATCCTTGGCATAGGTACATAGGTTTTAGAGGTGGGGAAATGTGGGTTTGAAACCCACTCCTCTTTGAAGTTGTATTATTAACAACAACATTTATGTAATGTTTACTATGAGCCAGGTCCTCTAAGTACATGGATATTCCTTACCTCTTTTAATCTTCAGAACAGCCCTGTGAAGTCGGTTCTTACAGAGATACAAGTTCAAGGAACTCACCTATTACAATAATAAATGATGAAAGTTAGGATTTAAACTTAGGTCTGGGAAATACCAAAGCTCATGGTAAATACCATCTTATACAAACTTCCTGGATGACCTTGAGCAAAACTTAGCTGCCTCAGCCCTGCATCTGTAATTTAGAAACCCAAAAAGCTTTAGAAATTGTTAGTCTTTCCGTAACTTATTTGGTGACAAACATGTGACCTGAATAGATGAGAGGCTATTTATATTTTGTTCATTCCATTTAGTGTAAATATTCATGTATGTTGCATTAAAAATTATGTGTTGGATTAGGTGATGCTGCTATAGGCCCCTCTCTAGAGGTGTTAAAAAATATATATGCACCATAATTCACTTTCTAAAATACAAAAATTTCTGAAATCTGAAATCCCCCAATAGATTGTGGACCTTTGTTTAACTTCCATAATACTCAGTTTTCTTATCTATGTAATTCTTAAAATCTATCCCAGTAAATCTTAACAACAATTGTATGTAATAATATACATAAGCATTTGAGATACCTGATATATAATTAAGTATTCAATTTGTTGGGATTGTTACTGTCATTATCTTGGAATTCTTATTCAGCTGTGCAGAGTTTGGATCCTAAAGCTAGACCATATAGAAAATGTGAATTGGCTGGGCACAGTGGCTCACACCTGTAATCCTAACATTTTGGGAGGCCAAGGCAGGTGGATCACTTGAGCCCAGGAGTTTGAGAACAGCCTGGGCAACATGGCAAAACCCCGTCTCTACAAAAAAAATGCAAACATTAGCAGGGCATGGTGGTACTCTCTGGTAGTCCCAGCTACTCCGGAGGCTGAGGCAAGGGGATTGCATGAGCTTAGGAAGTTGAGGCTGCAGTAAGCCAAGATAGTGCCACTGTGCTCCAGCCTAAGTGACAGAGGGAGACCCTGTTTCAAAAAAGAAAAAAGAAGGCCAGGTGCAGTGGCTCATGCCTGTAATCCCAGCACTTTGGGAGGCCGAGACTGGCAGATCACCTGAGGTCAGGAGTTCAAGAGCAGCCTGGCCAACATGGTGAAATCCCATCTCTACTAAAAATACAAAAATTAGCTGGGCGTGGTAGTTGGCGCCTGTAATCCCAGCTACTTGGGGGGCTGAGGCGGGAGAATTGCTTGAACCCAGGAGGCGGAGGTTGCAGTGAGACGAGATCATGGCACTGCACTTCAGCCTGGGTGACAGAGTGAGACTCCATCTCAAAAAAAAAAAAAAAAAAAAAAAAGAAAAGAAAAGAAAAAGGAAAAGAAAAAAGAAAATGTGAATTTTGTTTAGTTTGCAACTGAGGCTGAACACTGCATTGTTTTCAGTACAGGATAGGAAGCCAGGCCTTTTACAGAATGTAGTTTGTTTTCCTTACTAATGACTTTAAACCATAGTGATTTTCTTCTATAAATATACATTATTCCATAGTGCAGGGATTCCTGTCCTTTTTGTCAGATCCCGGGGTCTGGGTCCAGCCCATGCTGAAGTCCGAGGGGCGTGGGTGGATGAGCAGAAAGAACACCTGGGGGGCTGTAGGCAGGTGAAAGATAGTTTTATTCAGCAGCAGCTCAAATTAACAGCTTTCTTACACTAGCTCTCTTATGAACAGCTTTTCTTACACTGTCCACCTTTATCTCGGCGGTTTGCTCCGGCTGTGTGGCTCCCGCGACCCCCATGCCTGCGGCTTCCCAGAAGGCTCTCCCCTGCCTTCAGGGTCAGCAGCTTAACCCTTTATCTGGGCATGTGCAAGCCGAGCTGTGTCCTGGCTCCCTCCTGTCCAGACGGACAGCTTTGGCTGTCTCTCTTTCTCTGGGCACCAGTGCCTGCACAAGAGCCATGTTGAGCCAGGCTGCGCCCCAAGAGCGCCTGTACAACGGTAGCAGGGCAATTATACCTTTTACAGACAACAGTGGCTCAGAGCCAAGGATGTACTTACACAAACAGGTTATATAACAAGTGGGGGTGTGCGCCTGCACGCCAAACTCGCTGAGTCATGCAGGCCTGGATATCCACCTTGGCCTACCTCCATGTACCTTTTCATGTGATTACACACTTAGAAAATTATTTACTGGCCAGGTGCGGTGGCTTACACCCTGTAATCCCAGCACCTTGAGAGGCTGGGGCAGGAGGATTGCTCTAGGCCAGGAGTTTAAGACCAGCCTTAGGCAACATAGCAAGACCCTGTCTCTACAAAAAAAAAAATAAAATAAAATTAGCTGGGCATGATAGCGTGCACCTTAGTCATAGTCCAGCTAATCAGGAGGCTGAGGCAGGAGGGTCCTTTGAGCACAGGAGTTGAGCCTGGCGGTAGGTAAGCTTTGATCACACCTGAGATGAATGAAGGAGGAGGGTGCTTCATTCTGCTGCCAGTATTCGAGGCTCACCTGGCTGCAAGGGCTGAGGGAATCAATATCTTGGCATACCTGTAATACATCTTGGCAAACCAGTGTATAATTATATACACCAAATGTAAGGGGAAGAGACATGAAATGTGGGAATTATTAGTGGATTTACTTTGATTAATTCCTCTGCGTAAGCATCTATTTTGAAGCCGTTAAGAAAATTCAGATAAAACATGTGAAACTTAAAAATACTAAATAGTTAAGTCTCTTAATTGCCTGTCTTCTAGCAGTCAGGCAGTTGAGTCAGGAATGAGATGGAGTGACCGTTTTACTTAACGCTTTATAAAATGTATTTGTCGGTTTTTTAGATTAAGTATATTTTACCCTGTAAGTTTGAATTGTGAAAAAACTATGACATTGTCTTGAAACCTTTAAAACATTTCTAAGAGTAGATAGAACCAATAATGTAATTAATTTAGGACATTTATTTTTTAAGGGGCTGACATTTATTCCTTTCTCAAGTATTACAGTAAAAATTAGGTGGGGTAGGATAATTTTGCCAATTTTTTTTAATGCGCAGATTCAGAGTTTGTTAGAAATTATTTGCAGCAGAGTTGTGGGCGAGAGGCATACCAAGTTGTTTCAGGCTGGTCTAAAGGTAGTGAGTTATCTCAGTTGATTGTTCACAGTCAGTTTCAGTTACAGATTGAATGCCTTGTTCTGCTCTTACCCCGTTCTCACTACTCGACTAGCCTAAAAAATAATAATAATAAAATAAAAAGAAGTTGTTTCACATTATGCCTTCCCTGCCAAGCCTAAAACCTCCCGACCAGATTTTTTTTAAAAGAGGACACAGAGTTGGTTCTCAACTGGATATTTCTAGAACATATGCTGAGACGCTGTCCACAGCCATAAATTTATTACAGGGAGGTGGGGCAAACATGCAGGAATTGTAAGTGCAAATATACCCCACTTGGCTCAGGAATTTGGGGGCCAGGGAAGACATCCTGCATCTTACTGGTTTCCCTTGAAGGAATGGTACCCAGTTTGAAGGATTCAAAGGAGAATTTCTTCTCCTAAGTCTCTTCCTTTCGCCTCGGTGATCTGAGCAGGGTTTGCTGACTCGGTGTTGTCCCCAGTGGCCTATTATTTGTGATCGGTGGGGCTCCTCTTTACCCTTGGAGGAACACATCTCCAATGCTTTCTTTTCTTTTCATAGGCACTTGTAGTGGGGATAGGGGTGGGAGGGTGGCACGGGTGGAAACCTTACCTGCTTCTTGGTGCCCACTCAGCTCTGCAGAGCCTTGGAGCTGTCTACTCAAGCTGGAATCTCTTTGAAGGGGATTTTCTAGAGGTAGAATAGTATTTCTGACAGCCTCACAAATATACTCATCTTTTAATATTTTGCCACCTTTAAAAGTTGTTATTCAGAATAATAGATGATTCCATAGCAGCCTGTAGCTCAGAATATTATTATGTGTTAATTTGGAAAAAAAATGTGACTAGTATTCAGCACTTCTTTGAACCAGGGTATATTACTTATTAGCTGTATTGCTTGATTTTTCACAGACTGTTACATCTCCATTTAAATCATAAATCTGAATTATGCTGTATTACTGTAAAGCCTACCAGTGTTCCCTAGAATAGCATGGTAATAATTTTTGTAAGAAAAAACGAGTAGTAACAAAACATTGTTCACATTATGGGAACAGAAAGATAATAACAAAATAAAATTCCAGGATAGGCTGGGTGTGGTGGCTTATGCCTGTAATCCCTACACTTTGGGAAGCCAAGGCAGGCGGATCATTTGAAGTCAGGAGTTTGAGACCGGCCTAGAAAACATGGTGAAACTCCAACTCTACTAAAAATACAAAAATTAGCTGGGCGTGGTGGTGGGCGCCTGTACTTCCAGCTACTCAGGAGGCTGAGGCAAGAGAATCGCTTGAATCCAGGAGGCAGAGATTGCAGTGAGCTGAGATGGCCCCACTGTACTCCAGCCTGGGCAAGAGAGCGAGACTCTGTCTTGGCGGGGGAAAAAAGAAAATTCCAGGATATATGAAGTCATTATGACTAAAAACCACGTATTATGTGCATCATATTCTTAATTTTATTTTAATAATTAATTAGTCTTCCTCATCATCCCACAAGTATATCACAGAAATAAATACAGTCTCCTCTCAGCTCTCATTATTTTTAATAATGATCTCCTTGGTACTAAAGAAGTTGAAGATTACAACTCAGAAATGCAAAATGTTGGGCCAGGCGCAGTGGCTTACCTCTGTAATCCCAGGACTTTGAGAGGCCGTGGCAGAATAATCACTTGAGCCCAGGAGTTTGAGACCAGCCTGGGCAACATGGCAAAACACCATCTCTACAAAAAATACAAAAAGTAGCCAGGCATGGTGGTGGGCGCCTGTAGTCCCAGCTACTCAGGAGCCTGAGGTGGGAGAATCACCTGAGACTGCAAGGTCGAGGCTGCTGTGAGCTGTGATTGTGCCACTGCACTCCAGCCTGGGTGACAGAGTGAGACCCATCTCAAAAAAAAAAAAAAAAAAAAAGTGAAATCTTGATGTATTAGGGTTTAGAGAATAGCTGCAAAAAGTTATTTTCTGTATCTGCTGGAAAACAGCATATCTTTGTAAGTACAGATTGTAAGGCAGACAGATTGTAATTATGTGGATAGAGTAGCGAGTGGTAACAGAGCTTGACAGACCAGTGTTCACGTGACAGAGTGTGCAGCCCTCAAGCGCAGGTGCAGGTGGCTAACAGTACAGGGTTAAGGGGCCAAAGTGCACAGACAAGGTGTTGGCCAGGGCCTCTCCACATTTTGCAAACTTCTCTTCCCTTAAAAAGGAAGGAAAAAAAAAAAGAAGAAAGAAAGGAAGAAACAAACAAACATTTGATATTTCTCAGAATTCAGAACTCATTTTTTTTTGTTTTGTTTTGTTTCAGAATACTGAAGAATGGGAAAAAAGTAAGACTGAAGCAGACATGGAAGAGTATATATGGGAAAATAGCTCATCAGAAAGAAATATCCTGGAAACGCTTCTCCAGATGAAAGCTGCTGAGAAAAATATGGAAATAAATAAAGAAGAGCTCCTTGGTACTAAAGAAATTGAAGAGTACAAAAAGTCTGTTGTTAGTCTTAAAAATGAGGAGGAAAATGAAAATTCCATTTCTCAGTACAAAGAATCCGTGAAGAGACTATTAAATGTGACATGAATTATGGAGTAGAAAAATCTGCTTGATTTATTAATTTTATGATATATGTGATCAGTATCTAATTTGATATAAAATTGAAAATGTTAAAAAATCATTTTTTTTCCTCAGAGTTAAAATTATTTCCCTCATACTAATGCTTAATGGCAATGATTACTCCAGAGTTTTTTAATTTTTACACTGGGGCAATAGACTAGGAGGTCTCTGATTTCTTCTTGGTCTAAAGTGTTTTGATTTTATTTCTACATAATAGCTTTGGTATTCATGTATATACATGCATTTAATTGTGATTTTATCACCTTTCCCATTTCTTTCCCCACAAGCTGGCATTTCAGTAGTTGCTTTTGAATAATGGTTTTGGTTACCTGGGAAGGCAGGCCCAGAACCCATTTCCTTGACTTGCAGTTCCGGGCTGTGTTCACATGACTGCTGTCTAGCTGATGCATTTTTCACATTTGTCAACTCTGGTTAGAAACAGGTCCTCAGGAGTATTCTCTAACCTGATATTTTCTAAAAAGATATGTTGATTCAACTTTGTTTAGCATCCTACTTTCTAGATTGTGGGGCTCATTTTGCCAGGGCCAAGCTACCAGAAAAGTAGAAGTGGAGATTACCTGGTATGTATCTCTCTGGGTGCCCCAGTTAGAGCTGCCACAGCTCAGGAAAAAGATGAGGCATAACGACCTTGAATGTAATTGGAGTAAGTGACAAAATAAGAACTACCCTGGGAAACCCTGCATTCAATGTAGCTGTCAATTCAGTATTTTTAAGTACACCTGTCAGCTGTTTCTTACCACTTCGATGGTTGTGATTAATTTAAAATCAAAATAAAGGAATTACTGAGTTTATTTGCCTAATAGACTTATTTTGCCTAGAAGAATTAGAGAGTATAAATGAAAGCCAAAATGGAATTTCACAACGATTTCCTAAACCATTTGTGTGAAATGAAGGTATGATCTGGTGTGATTGAGGCCAGGAGTCTGTAGGTTATGAAGGACAATATGGCCTTGAGTACAAAAAGGAGAGAAAGAGGCATGTCGTGCCCTGCTGGGGCACCCTTATACTACTTATCATTTTAATCCTAGGGCTGACTTATGAATGAACTCAAAAGGGGCTAGACTGAGCTGAATTGGTAAGTAGTAGATGAAAAGCAGTACAGATAAAAACCAAAATTTTAGATCATGTTTAGAGCATATTTCAAGAAACATACCAGTACATTTAGAGACTCATTCGGAGTTAAGAAAAACTCAGATTCCTAACAGGATTGAAGAAGGAAACATTTTGAAAACAGTAGAAGCTGAGAAGAGATGATCATTTGGGAACATGTAAAGGAGCGGTAGCTTAGGGTGGTTTATCCTGTGTAATAATACAGTGCAGATGAAAGCAAAGAGGAGGATGTGTAATAAAGAATTTGACCTTACTCAGAGGTCTGGCCTTTGCCCTTGGCTTCTGGGAGGTAATCTATATCGTACCTGATAGGACTGTCTTTGTTTAGTGGGGTAACTGGCCCCAAAAGATCTCAGGATGGGACCAACATGCCAGAAAAACCTACCATGTGATTTAGGGTGGGGGCTTTCAGTCACATGATATTAGTCCACCTGGCAGCCGAGATGACTCAGCAGACAATCAGCAATCATACCTACATAATGGAGTCCAGTAAAATCTTTGGGCCAGGCGCAGTGGCTCACGCCTATAATCCCAGCAGTTTGGGAGGCCGAGGCAGGTGGATCACAAGGTCAGGAGATTGAGACCATCCTGGCTAACACAGTGAAACCCCGTCTCTACTAAAAATACAAAAAATTAGCCAGGCGTGGTGGCAGGCGCCTGTAGTCCCAGCTACTTGGAAGGCTGAGGCAGGAGAAAGCCGTGAACCCGGGAGGCAGAGCTTGCAGTGAGCCGAGATCGCGCCACTGGACTCCAGCCTGGGTGACAGAGCGAGACTCCGTTTCAAAAAAAAAAAATCTTTGAACACGGAGGCTTGAGTAAGCTTCTTGGGTTAGCAATACTCCATGCATATTGTCACACACTGATAGTAGGAGAGTAATGTGTCCTGACTCCTAGGGGAGAGCACTAGAAACTAAACATTTGAACGCTTCCTGGGCCTCAACTTACGTATTTCTTCTGTTGGGCCACTTTAATGTATCCTTTCCCTGTAATAAACTGTAATTGTGAGAATAATAGCTTTCATTCAGTTCTGAGTTCTAGTGAATTACTGAGCCTGAGGGTTGTTTAAGGAATCCCCCACAAACTTACAGTTGGTGTCAGAAGTAGGATGGCCTTGTAGAGGACTCTATCATCTTTTGCAGTTTGGCCAACTCCAAGTAACCTGAAGACTCTTAAACAATTGTTGATTCCTAATGGCAAAATCGTAGAGCTGACGGATTAATACAAAACTGCCTCAAAAACAAAACAGTTGGACCGGATGCAGTGGCTCATGCCTGTAGTCACAGCACTTTGGGAGGCTGTGGTGGGAGGATGGCTTGAGGTCAGAAGTTTGAGACCAGCCTAGGCAACATAGCAAGACCCTGTCTGTACTTTAAAAATGTATATATACATATATATCTGTATGTATATATAAAACAGTTGTTGTTATTGTAATTTTAGCAAAATTAAGCAGCACTATTTGTCATTAATCAGATCCTTGTCCTTTAAAATCTGCTAGTTGACAGAATGTATGCAATTGGAGCATTATATTCATCTTTATAATGAAAATGCTAGGGGATACTTTGCTATATTAATGCAGTCATTTCTGACTTTAAACTTAAATTGTATAGCCCAGAAGTTGCTTAAACACATAGGCAACTAAGATGTAGATCAGATCTCTTTTCTTAATTGTAGGGTGCTTTAATTCTTTTGCATATTTATGCAATATTGGTGTTTCATAATACTAAACAGTTACAGACTTTTTTTTTTTTTTTTTTTTTTTTTTTTTTTTTTTTGGAGAAGCTGGACGCAGTGGCTCATGCCTGTAATCCCAGCACTTTGGGAGGCCAAGGTGGGAGTATTGCTTGAGGCCAGGATTTGGACACCAGTCTGGGCAACAAAGTGAAACACTGTCTCTACATAAGATAAAAATTACCCAGGCATGGTGGCACACGCCTAGCAACTTGGGAGGCTGAAGTGGGAGAATTGCTTGAGACCAGGAGTTCAAGGCTGCAGTGACTATGATCACACTACTGCATTCTAGCCTGGGTGACAGAACAAGAACTTGTCTCCAAAAAAGGAAAAGGAAAAAAAGAAAAAGAAACAAACAAACTGGACCCTGGGGTCCAGTCAATAACTAAGGCCAAGGTTGTGACACCCACCTAGGAAGTAACCATGAAATCTTTCCAACGTGGTCCCTTTTTTTTTTTTTTTTTTTTTTTTTTGGAGACACAGTCTGCTCTGTTCCAGCCCAGGCTGGAGTCTGGAGTGCAGTGGCACATTCATGGCTCACTGCAACCTCAACCTCCCGGTCTCAACCGATCCTCCCACCTCAACCTCCCAAGTAGCTAGGACCTCCAGCTACTCCCAACCTCCCAAGTAGCATGCCACCACACCTGGTTAATTTTTTATTTTTGTAGAGATGGGGTCTTGCTATGTTGCCTGAGTTGGTCTGATTGTTTCTTAATAAAATTTAAAATTTTATTCGGAAGTTCTGTTTCGTCTCTGCCTCCCAGTAAGAAAGCAGTTTCTAGTCTCAGTTGTTTTAGTTCTTAACTGATTCTGGTCTGTTGTCTCTCCAGTCCAAATTTACTCAATTTATCTAATGGTCAGAAGGGTTGAAGAAGAAAAGGAATTTGTTTTCTTAGAAGGTAAATATACTTTTCCCAAATTAAGGTCATTTATATGAAATTATCAGCTTTAAGGAATGAGTAAAATTCTGAGAAACCCCAAGGGGAAAAAAAGCCTTTTTAATTCTAGCAGCCCTAGTCTATTGGAAAACCTCTAAGCAATTCACATATACTTAAAGGTAATGATTTTCGGCCTGGCGTGGTGGCTCACGCCTGTAATCATAGCACTTTGGGAGGCCGAGGCGGCAGATCACCTGAGGTCAGGAGTTTGAGACCAGCCTGGCCAACATGGTGAAACCCCGTCTCTACTAAAAAATGCAAAAATTAGCCAAGCGTGTTGGCAAGAACCTTAATCCCAGCTACTTGGGAAGCAGAGGCAGGAGAATCGTTTGAACCTAGGAGGCAGAGGTTGCAGTGAGGCAAGATCAAGCCATTGCACTCAAACCTGGGGGACAAGAGCGAGACTTCTCTCAAAAAAAAAAAAAAGTAATGATTTTCTAAATGTATGTACAAAAATGTATAAAGACAGCTTACTGAATTATTTCTGTAAATATAATTTTAGGGTAATTTAAATCTTGCTCCCCCCACTCCCTGCTTCAAATAGCATGGGTTTTTTTCCCCCTAATGTATTAGGGAAGAAACTGATAAAATTTATGACACCTAATTTTATGAATTATCACAAGTTAAGGTAAATTGATTTTTTTTATTTTTTTGAGACAGAGTCTTACTTTGTTGCCCAGGCAGGAGTAAAGTGGCATGATCTTGGCTCACTGCAACCTCCGCCTCCTGGGCAGCCTCAACCTTCCAGGCTCAAGCAATCCTCCCAACATAGCCTTCCAAGTAGCTAGGACTACAGGTGTGTGTCACAATGCCTGGCTAATTTTTTAATTGATTATGTATTTATTTATTTAAGGCAAGGCCTCACTCTGTTGCCCAGGCTGTTGCCCAGGCTGGAGTGAAGTGGCACATTCATGGCTTGCTGCAGCCTCGACCTCCAGAGCTCAAGTGATCCTCCCACCTCAGCCTCCCAAGTAGCTGGAACTACAGGGACACACCACCACACCCCCCTAATTTTTTTTCTTTTCTTTTTTTTTTTTTTTTGAGATGCAGTCTCACTCTGCCACCCAGGCTGGAGTACAGTGGCTAGATCTCGGCTCACTGCAACCTCCACCTCCCAGGTTCAAGGGATTCTCCTGCCTCAGCCTCCCGAGTAGCTGGGACTACAGGCTCATGCCACCACGCCCGGCTAGTTTTTGTATTTTTTAGTAGAGAGGGGATTTCACTGTGTTAGCCAGGATGGTCTCGATCTCCTGACCTCAGGTGATCCACCCGCCTCAGCCTCCCAAAGTGCTGGGATTACAGGTGTGAGCCACCGCACCTGGCCAATTTTTGTATTTTTTGTAGAGACAGGGTCTTGCCATGTTGCCCAGGCTGGTCTCAAGCTCCTGGGTTCAAGTGATCCTCCTGCCTCAGCATCCCATAGTGCTTGGATTACAGGTATGAACCACCATGCCTGGCCTTTTGATTAAATTTTAAAATCAGACTTTTAGCTGTGGTTAGTATTCAACTGCAAGAGATTTTATATTTTTCTTTTGTATTAAAAGAAATAGTCATTCTCTTTTTCCACCCGTATTAATACCAGGGAAAGAAAAGGAAATTGAAGCCACTGGACTTAGAAAATTTGGGTTTTCTTTTCTTTCAAAATTAAATGTTTTATTTTTATGGATTTAGGGGTACAAGTGCAGTTGTGTTACATGGATATATTGCATAGTGATGAAATCTGGACATTTAGTGTACCCATGGACAGTTCGTTTTAACATATGAGGAAACAGTACTATATTATAAGTATTATAAATAGGTTTTCCCCTTATTTATTTTATTTTATTTTTTTTGACAGAGTCTCGCTGTTGCCCAGGCTAGAGTGCAGCGGTGCAATCTCAGCTCATTGCAACCTCTACCTCCCAGGTTCAAGTGATTCTCCTACCTCACCCTCCTGAGTAGCTGGGATTACAGGCACGTGCCAGCATGCCCTGCTAATTTTTGTATTGTTAGTAGACACAGGGTTTTGCCATGTTGGCCAGGCTGGTCTCGAACTCCTGACCTCAGGTGATCCTCCCGCCTCGGCCTCCCAAAGTGCTGGGATTATGGGCGTGAGCCACTGTGCCCAGGCCCTTATTTATTCTTTATACTTATTATCTGTCTTTTAATATCTGTTCTCACATTAAAAACAGGTTTCAGGAATGAGAATAGGGGCCTAAAAAGCTTAAGTTTATTAGAGACTTGAACTACAGTATTCCACACTTAAGAGTCTTCTAAGATTTAGGGGGTAAATCTGTAAGATTTGGACAGAACTGAAACACCCGGAGCTAATCTTTACACCTGGGAAAACAGAATGTATACAAGTGAGGGATGTAACTAAAACTAAAACTCCCAAGCTTTATTCAACAGAAATCAACACAAGAAGCTCAAAGAGCTCTGTAGCACAATTATTGAAAGGAAGATGAAGACGGGTTGGGATTGAGAAGGATTAATCAATTGAAAGTAGAAAGCTAGATTAAGATCAGGAAGCATTTGCTTATGGGTTAGTAACTGTTAGTAACTGTTCTTTTGCTCAAATTACTACATGATTGCATTACTATACGTGACAATAATTTGACCTTGACTGGGAGGCCAATATGATGATATTGTGGTGTTTTCTTCCTGGTATTATTTTTTCATGCTTTTTGGGAAAACATAGGCTCTGAGTCTAACAGTGATTTTGAGCAGGGACTTGAACGAGACTGCCTGTGTTTAATTAAGTCCTGACTTCACTACTTAATACTTGTGTGTTTTTAGGGAAGATGTTTAACCTCTCTTCACCTCAGTTGCCTCGTCTGTAAAATGTGATAATAATAGTATCATGGTTAATAGCAGTGCACCCACCTCTCAGGGTTGGAAGGATTCAGTGAGTTCATGCCCCTAAAGCACTCGAACAGTGTCTCTCAGTAACAACTATAAGGATCAGAATTTTGCAACTCTGGCAGAGGGAACACTACTTAAAAAATAGAAATAACAACAAAGAAAGCAGTTATGTTTATCAAGCATTAGCCTTTTTTTTTTTTCACAGATTGGTAGGAGTGAGCATCCTATGTTTTCTTTTGAGACAGGGTCTGGCTGTGTTGCCCAGGCTGGAGTGCAGTGGTGCAATCACAGCTCACTGCAGCTTTGACCTCCTGGGCTCAAGCAGTCCTCCCACCTCAGCCTCCTAAGTAGCTGGGACCACAGGTGCATCATATCGCCCCATGTGCTTTTTTTAAATTATTTTTCATTTTATAGAGACAGAGTCTCACTATGTTGCCCAGGCTGGTCTCGAACTCCTGGGCTCAAGCAAATCTACTGCCTTGGCTTCCCAAAGTTTTGGGATTACAGGCATGAACCACCACGCCCAGCCTATTTTTTTTTTTTAACCAAACTGCGTTTTCTTACACAAAACTAAAAATGATATCCTTGAAAGCATATAATCTTGCTACAGTTTTTACTATGAAGAGTTCTCCTTCATATGGTTACGGTTTTTAATTTGCAAGGATCCTGATTTTCTCTGTCCTGGTTTATACTGGCCCTGCTGCTTTCCACAGCATCCAGATGCCAGGATGACTATACAACAGCCGAGAAAGATGACAGAGGTGCAAAGGGCCACAGAAACCAGCCAAGTCTTTGAAGTCACAGATACCTCATCTTCATTTGCAGATGTGTGGTTTCTGCTATTGTATCCTTTGGTTTTGTTTAGTAATTGTTTGCTACTGTTGAGTCCAGGTGGAACAGGCATATGAGAAAGTTTTGTGTCTATGGGTTCAAAGAAAGGAGAAATAGTCTTATTATCTGGATTGCTGATGAAATCAGTACTTGGTGACACCTTATTTATCTTTGTGGTAATGGACTCATTCAGGGAAGTAAATCTTGCCCAAAAATCTGTGGTTAATTCCTTAGAATAACTGGTACTGTTTGTGTTTACAACCAAATCTTGATGCGTGGTTGAGGATGGAGCCTCTGTGGATGGCAGCATACCATTTATCGTGGTGGTTTGTTTATCTAAATTCATAGCTTTTAGAATCCTTAGTCTGTCCCATCTATTGGATGAAGAACGAGTATTTAGATATGTGGGAGATTGTTCAAAAACCAGCAAATCCGGATCTATACCTGAAAAATAAATAAGGCATCATTCATTTTATTTTTACTTTCAAAGCAAAAACCCTAAAGCACAGTTTGGAGAAGGGGTTGGCTTTTGCCGCTATGAGTTATCGAACGAAGCTAAATTCACGTTCTACTACCACATACTTCTCAAAGGCTTCCAAACATACTGGCTACATTTGAATTTATCTTAACTTTCTAAAACACTTTTTTTTTTAATGAACAAATTTGACTACACCCAAGGAGAAGGCTTTGTGTCTGTCAGGGTTTTTGTACAATAGCGAGTGTTACTTTGAGAGCTGTAGAAACAGTAACGATTTGAGACACAATATAGCGTTTATTATTTATTTATTTATTTTTTGAGACAGGGTCTTGCCCTATCACCCAGGCTGGAGTGCAGTGGTATGGTCTCAGCTCACTGCAGCCTCTGCCTCCCAGGTTCAAACAATCCTCTCACCTCAGTCTCCTGAGTAGCTGGGATTACAGGTGTGCGCCACCACGCCCAGCTAATTTTTGTATTTTTTTTGTAGAGATGGAGTTTTGTCATGTTGCCCAGGCTGGTCCCAAACTTGTGAGCTCAAGCGATCCGCCCGCCTCGGCCTACCAAAGTGCTGGGGTTATAGGCAGGAGCCACTGCACCCAGCAATATAGCATCTTTAAATCAAGTTAAGCAAAATAGGGCCTGAGAAGAGTGACTATAAGCAAAATCATGAGCAAAGCCTTACGCCTCATCCCTTTTCGACCTCTGAGGGTCTTGCTTTGTCTTTAGTATTTTCTCCCTTGTATACTAACTCCTTTCCCTCTAACTTCAGACATGAACAAATACTGCTTTGTCTTTATAGGAGAAGAGAAAAAACTCTCAACAGCTTTCCAATGGTCCCTGCTGGTGATCTCTCTCTCTCTCTTTCTCTCTGCGCAAACATGCCAGCATCCGTTGCTTCTGAGGTAGTCAATTGTTTCCTTACTTCCTGATCACTCACGTCACCTTGCTTTGGCTTCTCTCTTGTCCTTGATGCTGCCGGCCACCTTCTTGAATTCTTCTTCCATGACTTCCCGGACCCCGGACCCCCTTGGCATTTTCTCCCAGACTGCCTGCCTCTCATTTTTACTTTCTTTTGCTGGTTCTCTTGTACAATCTCACTGGTTGTGTGGTTTCCATAATCTTCAGTCCTTGGTTTTCAGCTGTATTTTCTCTTCACTGCCCCCTCCCCTCCAACACATACAAAGAGATTGTGCTCAATTGGCACCACTACATCAATGGTATTGAAACCCATATCAGTATGTTTTCCCCTCTTTCTTGAGCTCTGATCTCATTTATCCAGTCTTCTATTGGAGGTTTCCATCTGGACCTCTTACATCATCTCTTAATATGCCCAAAGCCAAAATCATTACCTCTGCCTCCTTCTCTCCTTCATTGGCATCATCATTCTTCCATCACCCACACTGAAATCTACACTGTAAGGTGATTTTTTTTTAAGAGACAGCTGTTACTCAGGCTGGAGTGTGATAGTGCAATCATAACTAACTGTAACCTTGAACTCCTGGGCTCAAGTGATCCTCCCACCTCAGCCTCATGAGTACCTGGGACCAACCACAGGCACACACCACCTTGCCTGGCTAATTTTTTTTGTAGAGATGGGGGTCTCTCTGTGTTGTTCAGGTTGGTCTCAAACTCCTGGGCTCAAGTGATCCTCCTGCCTCAGCCTCTCAAAGTGCTGGAATTACAGGCGTGAGCCACTGCACTCGGGCTTGCAAAGTGATTTTTGACTCCACTCACTTCATTTCCTTTTATTAAAAAGGTGATGAAGTCCTTATTCAATCTTCCCAATGCTCTGGTAATTATCCCTTCTCTTCATTTCAACTACAGTCACTTTGTGCAGACTTTAATGCTTCCCTGACTAGATTTTCTAATCTGTACCTGCATATAATTTTCCTGGACTAGGACAAATAGATATCACTTCACATGTTTTTTCATTAAATGCCCTTGTTCTCTGTTTCTGACAAAGTCAAATCAAAACTCTACTCTGTCCATGGCCCTTACGATACCTGTCCCTACCTTATCTTAGCCATATTTTCATTGCAACTACATGTCTCCTTATTGTGGCCAGATCTGTTTGCTTACTCTCCTGTGGCATAATATAGAACTCATTATCTTCTTCTGCCTGCCTTCTTCCATGAACCTCCTCTGAATACGCTGACTTTCACTAGCCTCCCCTTTGAAACTTTGCACTGAGGCAGCTTCACATATTTTTGTATTTAGTTGTGTCTTAACAATAATTGTAAGATTTGTCACATCATCTAGATTATAAAGGAAATTGAGAGCAGAGATATGGCTGCGATCTTCCACAGTGTTGATTCTAGCCTGGAGCATCAGGTGTTCAATACATACAAACTGATAAAGAAATTTATCTCCTTTGCATTTTGATGGCAAAAATCTGTTCTTTTATGGTCACTAATTTACACCCTGAGATTACATAAATGGGCACGAAACACTTATATTTCTAAAATAAAATACACTGGTTATCTTGGGACCAATGATATGCTAATGTATGTCAGCACATGGTGGTAAGTTTCCCTGAACCTGACATCCCTCTTTTCCAAATCCTGTGTGCAGTGTCCATGGCCCTCAAAACTTCCATTTAGCATTTTCTTTATCTCCTAGTGGCCCCTCAGCCACCACAGGACCTTTTTTTTTTTTTGAGGCAGATTCTTGCTCTGTCACCATGCTGGAGTGCAGTGGCGTGATCTCGGCTCACTGCAATCTCCGCCTCCCAGGTTCAAGCGATTCTCCTGCCTCAGCCTCCTGAGTAGCTGGGACTACAGGTGTGCGCCACCACGCACAGCTAATTTTTGTATTTTTGGTAGAGACAGGGTTTCACCATGTTGGCCAGGATGTTCTCGATCTCTTGACCTTGTGATCTGCCCACCTTGGCCTCCCAAAGTGCTGGGATTACAGGCATGAGCCACCGCGCCTGGCCGAGAAATGCTTCCTTTGGCTTTGCTAAGAGTTCTTGAGATTCATGAAATACAGTGGGTAAGCTCTTGTTCAATCATGTATGATTTATAATCTGGAGTGAACTCTTTGCTGAACACATCAAACTAAAGAGAATTTTCTTTCAGTTTTCTGTCCTAGATATCCAAAATTTTTCCCAAGTTCACTGGAAAATAATTATTTTAGGGACTCACATATGGCTATTGCCAGCCAGTTTCTCAGCTATATGCCTCTACTAGAATATCGCCAGCATTCTTTTAAAGTCTTGAAATATGTAATCATTACCGTCTGTTATGTTGTACAAAATGGCACTGGTTCCAGGCTCTAATATGCAGCTCTCCAGTGTTGGGCAGTGAACATGGAGGCAGTTGATATTGTCATGAATAGGACTGTGGTAGAAGACAGCCAGGTTACAGGAAACTGAAAGGGAAACAAGCGAAGTACATCTGCAGATGGTCTCAATTTGCACCAATTTCATGAACTCTGAGTAACTTAGATTTGTTTCAGGAATACTGGATTAACAGTATTTTTCAGGGCAATATGCAGACATTTTGCAGAATGTTTATAAACTATTGTAACTGCTTCTGTGAATATGGAAAATACTTTTTTTTATTTTTTGAGACAGGGTCTTGCTCTGTCACTCAGGCTGGAGTGCAGTGGTGCGATTACAGCTCACTGCAGCCTAGACCTCCCGGGTCCAAGCAATCCTTCCACCTCAGTCTCCCAAATAGCTGGGACTAGAGGCACGCATCACCATGCTGGGCTAATTTTTGTATTTTTTTGTAGAGGCAGGGTTTCACCATGTTGCCCAGGCTGGTCTCAAACTCCAGAGCTCAAGCAATCTGCCTCCCCCAAAGCTGGAATTACAGGGAGGAGCCACCACACCCAGCCAGAAAATGCCTTTTTAAAATAAAATACTGATTTTCTCAAAGTAATCTTTCATACTTTCCATCCCACACAGGATATTTGGAATCATTCATTATTTCCTGGTCCCAGAATTTTGTGTTCATGAAAAGTTAGATTAGCTACAAAAACCTCTGGGGGCCCGGCGTGGTGGCTCATTCCCGTAACCCCACCGCTATGGGAGGCCGAGGGGGGCAGATCACCTGAGGTCGGGAGTTCCAGACCAGCCTGACCAACATGGAGAAACCCCGTGTCTACTAAAAATACAAAATTAGCCAGGCGTGGTGGCGCATTCCTGTAATCCCAGCTACTCGAGAGGCTGAGGCAGGAGAATCGCTTAAACCCAGGAGGTTACAGTGAGCCAAGATCACGCCATTGCACTCCAGACTGGGCAACAAGAGCGAAACTCCGTCTCAACAACAACAACAACAACAACAAAACCCTGGGGATTTATATATCAGGTTTCTAGGCACAGTGTCCTCTCAGAATACTAAGGGGCTGGGGGTCACCAGAGAAAGAAATAGGAAAATACACGGACAAATGCTGTAAAGAAGAAGAGGGAGTAGTGGGAAGGGCAAAAGAGTAATAACTGAGCGGCCCAGATGGTGGAAAGGCCACAGGCTGTGTGAGCATCACCTTGCCTAGACTGCAGGTGTGCACTCTCCCCACATGCAAAATCACATCCAAGGGAAAGCCTAATCAGTGTCATTTAAAGAGGCAGGGACTGGACAGGCAGGGATGCTAGCAGGTAGAATTCTAGCAGGTGGGGACACACTATTGGCTCATGCTGTCTTTCCTTTTCTAAGCAAATTTGCTTTTTAAAACATGTTCTCTGGCCAGGCGCAGTGGCTCACACCTGTAATCCTAGTACTTTGGGAGGCCAAGGTGGCGGATCACTTGAGGTCAGGAGTTCGAGACCAGCCCGGCCAACATGGCGAAACGTCGTCTCTACTAAAAAAAAAATACAAAAATTGGCTGGGCATGGTGGCACGCATCTGTAATCCCAGCTACTCAGGAGGCTGAGGCACGAGAATCACTTGAACCCAGGAGGCAGAGGTTGCAGTGAGCTGAGATCATGCCACTGCACTCCAGCCTGGGCAACAGGATAAGACTCTGTCTCAAAAAAAAAAAAAAAAAAAAGAAAAAGAAAAAGAAAAAGAAAAAGAAAATAGTTCTCTGACAGAGGAAGAGAAGACTTAAAAAGAAAAAAGTTTCCTTAGTTCTGGAAAACCTGAAGCAGATTTGTGTAATGCAAATCTTCAGTCTATCCTCACAAAAGTGCAACATAGATTCTACTTCTGCTGCAGTGCAGTAGAGACCATGTGATATGAAATATCCATTGGCCAAAAGGTACCGACTTTTTTTTTTTTTTTTTTTTCAGTCACCCAGACTGGAGTGAAGTGGCACAATCTTGGCTCAATGCAACTTCCGCCTCCTGGGTTCAAGCGATTCTCCTGCCTTACTTAGCCTCCTGAGTAGCTGGGATTACAGGTGTGCACTACCATGCCTGGTTAATTTTTGTATTTTTAGTGGAGATGGATTTCACCATGTTGTCCAGGCTGGTCTCCAACTCCTAACCTCGAGTGATCTGCCTGCCTCGGCCTCCCAAAGTGATGGGATTACAGGCATGAGCTACCCTCCAAGGTATCAACTTCTTTAATAAAATAAGATTACAGAGGGCCAGCATCCGGTTACCAGACCTCAAAGCATGCCTAAAGCTGTGGATCTGCTGCTAGCAGAGCCTGTACTGCTGCTGTGTAAGGTGAACTGTGAGGAGTTAATCTCCATCATTACTTCTAGGACATCCTCATGTTGCCGCACTCTATTTTTCCAGGAGAAAGAATAAGACAAAAATTAGTTAATAATACATTGCTAATACATTACACATTACAAACACATTCCCTGAGAACTGTGCTGTAAAGTTTAAGGGAAAGAAAAACTATTCAAACTTAAGACTTTTAAATTTCTGATGAGAAAGTAGTTGATTCTGCAGAGGACAATTTTGAAACATGTTTTACATTCCTTGTATACGTTTTGGCATCCCAGCTCTGAGCAGGATTGTGGCATTTTAAAGTTATGGCTTCCAGCTAAAAACTGGAATGTGCCTTCCTGTTCTTTCTTGTTCTGAAGGAAGAAAGCCACAACTGGGAAGTTACACGGGCTTTAAAATCATGGGATTGCCCTATACGCTTACAGTATCCCCGACAGTCCAAAGGCCAGAGCTTCTCTGCTGTGGAGTCAGGTAAATTCATGCTACGGGAAAATTCAAGAAAGCGTCCTGCCCCTCCGCTATCTCCCCTCAGTGAGGACTTACGGGAGTTAAAAGCATCTGGAAGGTGGAAATCCAGATTGGCTATCTTTTCAAAAAGATTTCCTCTTATTAAATTAATTATTGTAGCTCCAATTTTCATCTCAAAAATCTTACATACATAATCTTACATACACAAAAATCTTACATAGGTAATTGGGCAAGAGGCATTGGAAATTAACAAGTTGATATGAAACCATGGAAAGAAAGTGTAGAACAACCAAGGGAATTATTTTAAAGTGCTGTGTTGCTTTTGCTGTTTATTTTCAAGTAGCATTAAAATCTTGGAAAAATGAAAAAGAAATGAAAGAAGTCTTTAGGCAATTATAACTTGAAATCCTGCAATAATAAAATAAACATTCTTAATTGCAGGTCTTGATCATATTATATGGATGAAGTCTACACGCAGATTCCATGTGACAGACAAAACATCTATGAGGAATATTTGGAAATATGATTTTGGGGCGGGTATTTGACATATATCTCCCTGTTTCTTTCAAAACATGAATCGCACTCTAAATTGTTTTTTAATACATTCCACATTTGGTAAACCCAAGTCAGCACATTTTAGTTTAGTTGTGTGTGTTTGTGTGTGAGAGAGAGAGAGAGAGAGTCAGTCTCACTCTGTTGCCCAGGCTTGAGTGCACTGGTGCGATCTCGGCTCACTGCAACCTCTGCCTCCTGGGTTCAAGCGATTCTCCAAACTCAGCCCCCCGCGTAGCTGGGATTACAGGCGCCTGCCACCACCCCTGGCTAATTTTTGTATTTTTAGTAGAGAGGGGGTTTCACCATGTTGGCCAGGTTGGTCTCCAACTCCTGACCTCGAGTGATCCACCCACCTCGGCCTCCCAAAATTCTGAGATTACAGGCATTAGCCACCGCACCTGGCCCAGCACATTAAAAAAAATTTGATATGATACTAATATCACAAAATGTACTTTGAAAGGGAAATTATAATAAATATTTGACTGGGTGCAGTGGTTCACATCTGTAATCCCAGCACTTTGGGAGGCTGAGGCAGGAGGATCACCTGAGTCCAGGAGTTCGAGACCAGCCCGGGCAACATAGTGAGACCCTGTCTCTAAAAATTTAAAATAAAATGAGAAATAAATAAATATTTTTAAAATCATGTATATTTTGAGCTGTAAAAATATTGTAAATTAACCTTAGGGGAAATACTTTCATTTAGCATTTTGGTGAAGAAAAGAGGATTCTGTTTCCTGTAGGTGCTATCAAATTCTGGGTCATTATTAGATCTGTAAATAGAGCCTGCTGTGGCCCAGACTGTGAAATCAGTTTCACTGGCTCTCTTACCTCTCCCTCTCTCTCCCACACCCTAGGGCATCTTCTCTAGTTCTTTACAACTGTTTACTGGCCTCTGCCTAAGGCTCCTCACTTAGGGCTTCATCCTTGGAAGTTTCTTCTTATTTTTGCCCAAGCATATCATGAATACTTACCATCCTTCCGAAGACAGCAGCTCCTACTGCACTTCTGGCCAGTGCTTTCAGAATAATACTTCAAGAACTGGGCTCCCAGCTTCTGAGACTCCTCCAGATTGATTAGAAGACCTGGGAAGCGACGGATCCAGCAGTCTCTGTAAAAAATTGTGGGTGAGCAGAGAGAGTCTGATGTCCACCCCATGCTTAGGAGCAATATCACGTTCACTGCTACCTCTGCCACATGCATTTTTCCTGTATGAAGGAAGACTCGAAGATAAGTCTGATTTCCAGACAGAAGCTGAACACTGGAGTTTAGGACAGTCTCTGGAACGTCAGAGGTGTTGTTAAGGGAGAGCTTCCTTGCAGCTTTTCTGGAGAGTCACTTTCTAGCAAAATAAGACCACTCTTTGCACATTGATTTTTCTTTTCTTCCCGAGCTCCAGGTGAACATTTGATTTGCTGGCATTCTTTCTGAACACTTTCCAGGCTATTTCAATACCCTGTCCCTTAGCATCTTAAGACGTGCATTCTCTTTTCTGCTTTTCTTCTTTCTCTGAAAGTGAATAGTCACAGACACCTTTTGCTAAGTAAATATAAAGGCAAGTGGAAACCTTAGTCAAGAGGCTTTCTGAGGGAAACAACAAGTTAGTCACTTGACATCAGATAAAGGAAGTATCCATTTCATCATAAACAAGACATGATTTTGTGAGGGCACTTCTGTTTGATTTTTAAAGAACTTGTGATTGCAGATTGTTTTTTAAAAAATCATCTCGATTTCTTTGAACTTAAGTTCTGGCATTCAGGTTCACCAAAAATAATTTTTTTGCACTGGTTTGGGTTTTCATTCTTACTTAAAAAAAAAACCTTGGCCAGGCACAGTGGCTCACACCTGTAATCTCAACACTTTGGGAGGCTGAGGTGGGAGACTGCTTGAGCCTGGGAGGTAGAGGTTGCAGTCAGCTGAGATGACACTACTGCACTCCAGCCTGGGTGACAGAGCGAGACCCTGTCCCAGAAAAATCAAACCAAACAAACAAACAAACAAAAAACACTAGGAAAATGGTGAAATCTTTTTAAATTTCTAAATAGTAATAAAATCATTTCAATTGCAATGCCCAAACATTTGAAAAGGCAGTGAAAATGGACTGTTGCTTTTGTGAAAGTTGTGGGTTTCATATCCTGTGACATCCAAGGTGACAAATTAGCTCAAAGCATAAAACTGTTGCTTTTTTGTATCCAATTTTATATGAAGCATTAGTGATAATCAGCTTTTGGCACAAAGCACTCTACTGTTTCTTCTAAAAAAAGAGAAACTTTCTAATCTGTGATCCGTATTTCTTTTATACCTTTTTATACAATGACTCATTCACCTTCTTGACACAAAAATCATCAGCATTCTTTGAACGTTCATCTCTTCAACTGTTTCCTAATAATAGTCAATCTAGTTATTACATATCTTTTTATTTTTAGAAACATGATAATAATTGATAATGAAAAGGAAAGTAGTTAAGACTGAATAGCTTTAAATATGAAACACTTCATTTTCTTCTGAGCAAAAATTATATTATGCACTAACTCCTAACCTTGCCTAAGCCACATAGAATACACAAAATGATAAATATTTCATTCTATTGAACTTCTTACAGAAAGCAAATTTCAGTTGCTCACCTGCAAAGACTCAGACATTTCCATCTGTTTGAAGGGATAGGGAAGAGAGGTTTTATAATGGCAAAGGAAGGAAGGGAAAGGATGAGTAACAAAAAATTACTCTCGATATTTTATGAGATTCCATGGCTATTTCTCTTAGAAAATGCCCTCGAGACATAAACAGGAAGGTCTACTCTCTAATCTTATAATCTTCAAGTCTTTGAGTCATATTAAGTATAGGTTCTTTTGTGTGCTATATAATTCTTTGAAGTTCTCGTATTCCTTTCAGGGATAATGGAACAAGCCACAATTGTTTAACCCTTTTGCTGTCAGATTATATTTAAATAAAGATCAAAGTTTCATTTTAAAGGACCTAGAAGTCTTGGCCAGGCGGGGTGGCTAATGCCTATAATCCCAGCACTGTGGGAGGCTGAGGCAGGAGGACTGCTTGAGCCTAGGAGTTCGAGACCAGCCTGGGCAACACAGGGAGACAGGGTCTCTACTTACTAACTAACTAAAGCCCTGCAGGGGCTGGTGCTATTAAGAAACAAAAAACAAACAAACAAAAAAGGGATCTACAAGTCTCAATGTAAAAGCATGCTTTAAATTTTGTAAAACTTTTTCTGGAGATTGCATTGTCTGGAAATGGATAACTTCTTGGGGCCAAGTGTTTTAAAAAGAAATGGTAGAAACTGGAATGCAGAGGTAGAGGGAGGCATCCATAACAATCTCAAAACTTGTCCCTGTGTGCTGAAACTGCAGAAACCAGGAAGCAATGCAACTGAATCAAAACTTGTTATAAGGCCTTGTTATCAAATACCCAGAACCACTACACTGTTGCAATGTGGAATACATTATATTTCTTTCCAATAGGGTGCTCTTGCTCTGCAGAGGGGTTCACAAATGTGATTTGTACTTTAAAAGTCACGACAGCCTGATTCAGTAGCTGTTGAGTGGAGAGTGACATTCTTATTTTTACAAGAGTCCCAGGTGATTTCCTAAGATGTTTGGGAAACACTGATATAGATAGATGAGCGAAATAAATGGAACTTTTACCTAAACAACGATGCTCAACCTAGTTAACTAGAACCATTTAAAGACCATATACTACTTTTATCTCATTTAAATCACTCCATAAGCTTTGATGAAAGGAAGATACTTCAGTTTTGCTTGTTAAAAAACAGGAATAGGCCAGGCATGGTGGCTCACGCCTGTAATCCCAGCACTTTGGGAGGCTGAGATGGGCGGATCACTAGAGGTCAGGAGTTTGAGACAAATGTGGCCAATATGGTGAAACCTCATCTCTACTAAAAATACAAAAATTAGCTGGGTGTGGTGGCACACGGCTGTAATCCCAGCTACTCGGGAGGTTGAGGCAAGAAAATCACTTGAACCTGGGCAGCAGAGGTTGCAGTGAGACGAGATTGCACCACTGCACCCCAGCCTGGGAGACACAGCAAGGCTCTGTCTCAAAAAAACCAAAAAACAAAACAAAAAAAAAACCCCAGAAATAAAGTTGTTTTAGGAATATTGAGGAACTGAAAAAACAAAGAGAAATAATTTTTAAATAGTAGTGAAGTAATAGCATAGCTTTAGTAAATTCAAGACATTTGGAAAGCAGTCAATATTTCACCTTTAATTAATTATTTATTTATTTTTTGAGAGTTTCCATTTCATTTGCTGATAAAATTAATAAAAATTATTTTTTAAAAAATGGTACCTGAAAAACTTAAATGTTTTTTCTTTAAAAATGTTTTTGCTTCTATTAAATCAACATATGTTCACTTTAATAATTCAAATCATATAGAAAAATACAAAAAGAGAAACTATTCAAGCACTTACCATCTTAATAAACATCTTTCTGGATATTGTTATTTAAAAAAACATATGAACGTCAAAATACAAAATTACAACAAATTTAGTTTAAAGACCTTAATTGGCTTTTATTTGTGATTCCAGAATAGGGCAACACCTCATTCTATAAAATCCAATAAACTGAGCAGAGGAGGTGGCTTTGTTGATGGAAAAGAGCTGAGGAAAGCAGAAATAGAAAATAAAAAGCAGGGGCTGGGCACGGTGGCTCACGCCTGTAATCCCAGCACTTTGGGAGGCTGAGGCGGGCAGATCACGAGGTCAGGAGATCGAGACCATGCTGGCTAACATGGTGAAACCCCGTGTCTACTAAAAATACAAAAAAATTAGCTGGGTGTGGTGGCAGGTGCCTGTAGTCCCAGCTACTCGGGAGGCTGAGGCAGGAGAATGGAGTGAACCTGGGAGGCGGAGCTTGCAGTGAGCTGAGATCGCGCCACTGCACTCCAGCCTGGGCGACAGAGCGAGATTCCGTCTCAAAATAAATAAATAAATAAATAAATAAATAAATAAATAAATAAATAAGATTACTTTCCTTGTAAAGGTTAAAGCAGAGGGCACTGCCTTATCATACTGGTTAAAAGCGGCCTGTCTGGGGATTTGGTTATTATCTCTCTCCTGATTTTTTCAAAGATCAGATACAGATCTTGGTTCTGGCTTGGTGGCATCATGGAACATCACCATGAGTAACTCCATTTTGGTTTCATCTGTTGGGGCTAGTGCAGGAGCTCAGTTCAAACCAATGGTCTTGGCTGGTGCGGTGGCTCACACCTATAATCCCAACACTTTCTAAGGTCGAAGAGGGAGAATTGCTTTGAGCCCAGGAGTTTTGATATCAGCCTGGAAAACATAGGGAGAGCCTGTCTCTACAAAATTTTAAAAAATTAGCCGGTTGAGGTGGGGCCCATGAGGTTGAGGCTGCAGTGAACTGTGGTTGTGCCACTGCACTCCAACTTAGGCAACAGAGCAAGACCCTGTCTCAAATAAATACTAAACAAACCAATGGTCTATACATTTTATTTATTTTTAAATTTTTTTGTAGAGACAAGGTCTCACTATGTTGCCCAGGCTGGCCTCAAACTCCTGGCTTGTGCAATCCTCCCGCCCTGGCCTCCCAAAGTGCTGGGATTACAGGAATCGGTCACTGCACTGGCCTCCTATAAATTTTATTTTACAGTATATAGGTTTACATAAAGGGAATCATATATGCTGTTCCAAAATCTGTTTTTTTTTTTTAAACTTTATGTAAAAGTATATTTTTCAGCCAGGCGTGGTGGCTCACGCCTGTAATCCCAGCACTTTGGGAGGCTGAGGTGGGCGGATTACCTGAAGTTGGGAGTTGAAGACCAGCCTGGCCAACATGGTGAAAACCCGTTTCTACTAAAAATACAAAAATTAGCCAGGCGTGGTGGCAGACACCTGTAATCCCAGCTACTTGGGAGGCTGAGACAGGAGAATGGCTTGAACCCAGGAGGCTGAGGTTGTAGTGAGCTGAGATCACACCACTGCACTCCAGCCTGGGCAACAAGAGCGAGACTGTCTCAAAAAAAAAAAAAAAAAAAAGTATATTTTTCAGTGATCCTAAAGAAAGATCTACACAAAAACTTCTAATGGCTCCTTGGTATTTCATTCTACCATACCAAAATTTACTCTGCACTTCAGCTTCCTCAGCTGTAAAATATAAAAACAGTACTGTAATCCATGTAAAGCACTTACAACAGTGCCTGGCACATGCTAAACACTCAATACATATTAGCTACTATTATTATACATTATGTTGTTTTCCAATTTTTTGTTATTAAAAGCAATACTGTGATAAACATCTTGTACTAAGATTTTTTTTTCTACTTGCTATTTCAAAAGGGATATTTTCCATAAGTTCTTTAAAAAATGACCTACTTCAGCTGGGTGTGGTGGCTCATACCTGTAATCCCAGCACTCTGGGAGGCTGAGGAGGGAGCATCACTTGCGCCCAGGAGTTCAAGACCAGCCTGGGCAACATGGTGAAACCCCGTCCCCACAGAAAATGTAAGAATTAACCGGGCATAGTGGCGCAGGCCTGTATTCTCAGCTACTTGGGAGGCTGAGGTGGGAGGAGCACTTGAACCTGGGAGGCCTCTGGGAGGAGCACTTGAACCTGGGAGGCTTCATTGAGCCATAATAGTGCCACCACACTCCAGCCTGAATGGCAGAGTGAGACCCTGTCTAAAAAAATAAAAAATAAAAAATAAAAATTACCTAACTCTATTTGACCATTACGCTTCTGTAAAACTGTTTTACAGATAGTACCACAAAACTGGTTTTTATTATTCAATGATCAGTCAATAACAGATCTATAAAATTATACCTCCAGTTATATAAAGCAATATTTTCAGGAAGACTAGGAATAATTTTAGGTCTTTTTAAAATAAAGGAGTTTATATTGCTCTGACTTTGCATTTCTAGCTTAACAGAAAACTTACTGCATAATTTATTAAAATGATTTGATCATTTAAGATGCTCCCAATCCTAAATAATGTTATTATCATATTGGGAGCCAAAAAAACTCACAAGATCAATGCCCAGTATTGTGAGACTAATACCCCAGACTCCCTGTCCAACCTCATCTTACCCTGATAATGTTACTGTGCTTGAATTGCCTTTCTAATGCACATCATTCTTTGAGCATGATTTTTTTGGTCTGTTTTAAAAAGGCAAGAAAATACCAGTCTGAGGCATATCTATGACGGCTGGGAAACAAAAGCATCCATTGGTGAAAGATTCAAGAGACAGAGGAGAGACTGAGAGCCTGTTCTTTGTGGCTGACCCACTGAATCTGGCATTGTTGCCGGTTGAGGCATAGAAAAATCGTAGGTCCAAGTCTCTTTGATACAGGGGACGCATCCCAGCAAAATTCCCCAGCCTGATGCTTAATACTGGATGTTACACTCTACCATCCCAAAGAAGCTGCTAAATGCTTGATCACTCACTCCACCTCCTGCTCCAAAGCTTATCGTGTCTCACTGCACCCTCATAGAGAATGGAAGTGTGAAGGGTTGATGTGAAAATGGAGTTTTATCAGTAACGATTTAAAGGCCAGGTGAAACAAGGTGAAGAGATGAATGTTTTTTATAGAATCCAAGAAAACAACTGAGTAAGTCATAGATCCATTTTTATTTCCTTCATTTTTTTCCAGGGAGGCCAGAATCTACTAGAACATTTTCTATGTCTTTTATTTTTTAGTTCCTTATTCCTAGCATTATTATAAAGAAAATAGGCCAGGCACAGTAGTGCTTTGAGAGACCAAGGCAGCAGGATCACTTGGGGTGGCAGGATCCCTTGGGGCCAGGAGTTTGAGGTCTGTCTTGGGCAAGGTAGCAAGACCCTATCTCTATGGAAAAAAAAAATGCATTTTTTTTTGCTGGGCATGGAGGCTCATGCCTGTAATCCCAGCACTTTGGGAGGCCGAGGTGGGTGGATCACGTGAGGTCGGGAGTTCCAGACCAGCCTGACCAACATGGTGAAACCCCGTCTCTACTAAAAATACAAAATTAGCCGGGTGTGGTGGCTCATGCCTGGAATCCCAGCTACTCCGGAGGCTGAGGCAGGAGAATCACTTGAACCCGGGAGGTGGAGGTTGCAGAAAGCTGAGATCGCAGCATTGCACTCCAGCCTGGGCAACAAGAGGGAAACTCTGTCTCAAAAAAAAAAAAAAATGCATTTTTTTTTCTAAAAAATAAAAAGATAAACCTCCTTTCCCAAGTAATAATAATAAACAAAGTAAAAGATGACAACAACACCTCTCTGTGAAGCAGATAAATTTCGTAGTAAGAACCACAAATGTAACCAAACTATGTTGAAAGGATCTCATGTTTCACCTTTGACTTTCTTTTAGTTCTCTGGTTTTTAACCCTTTCTCCTTCCTAAGGTAAAATGTTAGCATGGTAGGATGTATCTTCTTTAAATAGGGGAAATGTACTTATGAAGAAGATATTATTTAACAATCTGTCATTCAAGAAGAAAGCTGAAGCTTGTAATAATAAAAAAAAAAACCAAACACATATTCTCTCCAAGTTAAGGACTGTTTATCATAGGTGGTTCTCAAATCTTGGTTTGGGGTAAGTTTTCAAGGTTTTCTGTTTTTGTTTTGTAAGATAAGAGTGAACACACCCTCTGCTTCCTCCCAATCCTTCTCCCTTCTCCTACCCAAAGATAATCCAAACAATATATTTCTCCCCCCACCCCCTTCCTGGGATGAATTCATTAGCAAGACAAAAAGTCCTTCCTATTATTATTTGGGGTGGGCCTTCTAATTGCAATGTTCAGTGAGAGAACATAGGAAACAAGTGGTCTCTCTTTTCCGAGACGGCGTCTCGCTCTGTCGCCCAGGCTGGAGTGCAGTGGCGCGATCTCGGCTCACTGCAACCTCCGCCTCCCGGGTTCCAGCAATTCTCCTGCCTCAGCCTCCCGAGTAGCTGGGATCACAGGCGCGTGCCACCACGCCCGGCTAATTTTTGTATTTTTAGTAGAGACGGGGTTTCACCATGTTGGCCATGGTGCTCTCGAACTCCTGACCTCGTGATCTGCCCACCTGGGCTTCCCAAAGTCATGGGATTACAGGCGTGAGCCACCGCGCTCAGCCAAACCGCACGTGTGGTCTCTCTTAATAGTCCTCAGATGATGGGGGCAGGGTAGGTGGAGAAAGGGGGTGACAAGAAAAGCTACTTCTTGCAGACATTTATGAGCCAATTTTGTCAGATCTTTTGCGCCAGGATAACATTCCGTAATGGACTGGACTGAAGTAGAAAAGCAATGGCTCATAGAAAACATGGTTTAAAACCAGAAGCCACGTGATGTAACTTTATTTAGTCGGGCTGCGCTTTCATCTTTCTTTTAATAACTTAGGGAGAATAAGGGGCCCCAGTGGCAAATGCAAGCTCCCCTGCCTCCCAACCCGATTCCTCTGAGAACCTGCTGCCATCTGCCTGGACCTCCTGTAAGATGGCTCCTACGCGACCACGCTACCAGAGAATCAGCTCTACGTGCCACCAACATTGCCACCAACTGTCCATAGATCGCCTGCGTGCCTCAGCCCACTGACACTCGATGCCGGACTGGGCCAGAAGGACGACCCCATATTTGATGCCTTTTTGTCTCCCTGGACCAGAGACTCCATCCTTCCCTTTCCTCCCACGCTCATTTCTTTTTCTTTAGCCCGTGTAAAGCAGCGTGGGAGAGAAAACGAATTTCTTCTCCCTGGGGTACCCCGGAGCATCACTGCAGCCCCCAACAAGCGGCGGAGCCGGCGCGCCCCGGGCGGGCGGAGAGGCTGCGGGGACGCGCGCCCTCCGCCTCCCGCAGCTGCGCGTCCGCAGCCGAGGCGCCCGGGCCCGCAGCTTCCCGGGCCTCCCCGAGAGCCGGATCCAGCCGGCAGGTCAGGCCGGCGGCTGGGGTCCCGCGGGCGGAAGTGAGAAGGGCGGCGGGGGAGGAGGCTGCTGGCTGGGAGCTGGAATTCCCTTCCCGCCTGGCGCCGCCCGGGAGAGCCCGCGCGAGGACGCCCGCCGCGCTCCGCCGGCCCTTTTTTGGCGCTGAGGGAAAGGAGAAGGGCAGGGCCGCCGCCTCGCGGGAGCGGGCCCCGGGAGGAGGGGCCGCCGGAGAGGCCGGGCGAGCGCGGGCGGCCCTCACCTCGCCGCTCCTCCCGGGCCGCCATCCCTCGGCGCCCCGCCCGGAACCGGCGCGCGCGTAGGGGCTGGGAGGCCGGCGCGCAGATCTGGCGGTGAGCGCTGCCGCCCCGGGGCCCCCAGCCATGTCGGCCGAGGAGATGGTGCAGATCCGCCTGGAGGACCGCTGCTACCCGGTGAGCAAGAGGAAGCTCATCGAGCAGAGCGACTACTTCCGCGCCCTCTACCGCTCCGGCATGCGCGAGGCCCTGAGCCAGGAGGCCGGCGGCCCGGAGGTGCAGCAGCTGCGCGGCCTCAGCGCGCCGGGCCTGCGGCTGGTGCTGGACTTCATCAACGCCGGCGGGGCCCGCGAAGGCTGGCTCCTGGGCCCGCGCGGGGAAAAGGGCGGCGGGGTGGACGAGGACGAGGAGATGGATGAGGTGAGCCTGCTGTCCGAGCTGGTGGAGGCGGCCTCCTTCCTGCAGGTCACGTCCCTGCTGCAGCTGCTGCTGTCCCAGGTGCGGCTCAATAACTGCCTGGAGATGTACCGCCTGGCGCAGGTGTACGGGCTGCCCGACCTGCAGGAGGCCTGCCTGCGCTTCATGGTCGTCCACTTCCACGAGGTGCTGTGCAAGCCCCAGTTCCACCTCCTGGGGTCTCCTCCCCAAGCTCCAGGGGATGTCAGCCTGAAGCAGAGGCTGAGGGAGGCCCGGATGACTGGGACTCCTGTCCTCGTGGCCCTCGGGGACTTCCTGGGGGGACCCCTGGCCCCTCACCCCTACCAGGGGGAGCCCCCGTCCATGCTCAGGTACGAGGAGATGACTGAGCGTTGGTTCCCGCTGGCCAACAACCTTCCTCCCGACCTGGTCAATGTCAGGGGCTATGGGTCTGCCATCCTGGACAACTACCTCTTCATAGTGGGCGGGTACAGGATCACTAGCCAGGAGATCTCCGCTGCGCATTCCTACAACCCCAGCACCAACGAGTGGCTCCAGGTGGCCTCCATGAACCAGAAGAGGTAAGCACCCCGGCAGAGTGCTGCTGCCTTCTCATTCATTCACTTGTTCATTAGTTCATTACCCCAGTGTTTACTGAGCCAGTAAATAGGGGAGGGTGTGCTGTGGTGGAAATGACATCTTCAGGAATGTTGTTGGCCTTGGCGCTGGCAAAATTCCCAATGAACTAAGAAATTGCGAAGAGGACGTCCCCAGTGAGGTCAAGAAGTGGAGTGGTTTTTTGGCAGGTATTGTGCCTTTAGGTGAAACTGCTTTCTTTGCCTCTGTTCTTGTGAAAAAAGATGTTGTGGTTTCCTACAAGAATACTTTAAAAGAAAATTGCCCCTTAATTTTTAAAAAATTTGTCTTAGTTTTTAGGATTTGATCCTGATGATAATGATACACTGGACAGTAACCTGTAACACTGACTTTGGGGGATTTTTTTCTGATGTCAGTGACTGTGACAACAGAGTCTTCCACACTGTGATACCCATCATGATCAAGAGATAATCACTGGAAATGTATTAACGTTTGCAATAGGGGTTGCTTTTCTTATTTTTTATCCTCTCTTTTGCTTCCTTCCCTGGACAGCCATCGTCATGACCCACAGCTTGAGCCTGGAAGTGTTCAACTACAGAATTGGAATATTTTCATTTACGCAACCTTCTCCCCCTCCCATCCTGCAAATCTCTCCTGCCTCCAACAAGGGTGACTTGAAGAAAGGAAGAGGAGGAGCTTGAGGAGTGGGATGAGAGGGGAGAAGGGAAAGGAACCAGGGAAGGAATATCAAAACAAGAGCAAAGAGCATATACAGGAAGAGATGGTAGGAAATAAAGATGGTAGCGCCTAGGAGGCCTCAGCGTCATTCAGAAGCAGGGAAAAGAATCAATGTAACTCAAGAAAGGATGAAAATACCCTTTCTTCCCATCCACGTGTTTCCATCTCAATCCTCACAGGGTCCTGGTCCTGAAGTGTGGAGCAAGGAGTTGGGGAGCTCACAGCTGGGCAAAGAAAGTCTTAACAGTAACAGAGAATCCTTTATATATCTGTTTATTTGACTCGAGGGTCCTCCTCGGCCAGGGATTATTTGGGGGAAATAACTGGCTTTATTTCTCCTATAATATGAAATTCATTTTGAAAAGTATGCTTTTTCCCCTGATAATACATAGTTACAGAAAACTGGAAAATGGAAAAGAATGAAGAAGCAAAAAGATGATTATTCCTACCCGCTCTTCCTAGAGGCAGTAACCAGGTTGGCATATTTCCTGCCAGCCCATTTTTAATGCATTATTTACACCATTGAGATGATACCATATTTAAAATTTGGTATCAGAAGTGTTATTTTAAAACAAATTCTATGCACTGTAATTGAAACAACAAAGGAACATTGTGTGGCCATGGGTGGTGGTCTGATTAGGGGTGGGCGGCCCTGAGTTCTCTCACTCCTCTTGCATTCCTCTAGCTACACATCATTTGGTGCTCACCAGGCCATCCTTAGTGCCACAGTTCCTCACACTTCTTTCTTCCCTTCATACATCCTTGGTAGTCTTTGTCTTTTTTTCTAGGAAGGCCCTTTTCATCCCCTTAAAAAAAAAAAAAGCATTCAAGTAATGCATGAATGCATGATTCTTAGAAAAACTGCAAATTACACACAAAACTGTGGAGTAAAAAGAGTAAATGTCTGCCCTCAGGGTACAGAAAAAAAGTGTCAGTGTATCAACAGACTTTTGTTACCTTTAGATATTATAAATGTATAAACATTTATACTGTAAATTATATGTATACTTGTATAAATACAGTTAACCCTTAAACAATGTGGGGGCCAGGGACACCAAACCCTGCACAGTCAAAAATCCCCATATAACTTTTGACTCTCCCAAAAACTTAACTACTGAATAGCCTACTGTTTACCAGATGCCTTACCAATAACATAATCAATTAATACATTTTGTATATGTAGTATATACTTTATTCTAACAATAAAGTATGCTATAGAAAAGAAAATGTTATTAATAAACTAAGGAAGAGAAAATTAAGCGGAAGTGGATCATCCTTATCATCTTGACGCTGAGTAGGCTGAGGAGGAAAAGGAGGTAGAGGAAGGGTTGGTTTTGCAGTCTCGGGGTGGCAGAGGCAGAAGAAAATCTGAATGTAAGTGGACCCTCACAGTTCAAACCCGTGTTATTAAAGGATCAGCTGTATAAGTATATTGATAGTGGTTAACAATAGGGGAAAAGTGTTTATGTATATTAATGTGCACGGGGGTGTATCACCTTACACATTTTAAAAATTCTGAAATTGTCTAGGTTGTACTAATTATTATGGCACTTGATATTTCCATTTAACCATATCTGAGAGTTTTTTTTCTGTGTCAACAAATGTAGATCTACCTTATGCTTTTTTATTTTTTTATTTTTTTTGAGACGGAGTCTCGCTCTGTCGCCCAGGCTGGAGTGCAGTGGCGGGATCTCGGCTCACTGCAAGCTCCGCCTCCCGGGTTCACGCCATTCTCCTGCCTCAGCCTCCCGAGGAGCTGGGACTACAGGCGCCCGCTACCACACCCGGCTAATTTTTTTTTGTATTTTTAGTAGAGACGGGGTTTCACTGTGTTAGACAGGATGGTCTCGATCTCCTGACCTCGTGATCCGCCCGCCTCAGCCTCCCAAAGTGCTGGGATTACAGGCGTGAGCCACCGCGCCCGGCCTTACCTCACGCTTTTTAATGGCTGCGTGGCATTCCAGCCTATGGATGTACCATAATGTAATTAGCCCTTCCCTTATTTATGGACATTTAGGTCACTTCCATTTGCATTGGATGTTTCAATAAGCACTGCCATTGAACATCCTGGTAGATGCGTGCATGTATCTTAGTAGCCATATGTGAGTTAGTTTCATATGTCAAATTCGTGGAATCCCTGGATAGGTAGGGCAAAGTGTATGTGTTTTTTTTTTTTGTTTTTGTTTTTTTTTTTTGGGGACGGAGTCTCGTTCTGTTGCCCAGGCTGGAGTACAGTGACGCGATCTCGGCTCACTGCAAGCTCCGCCTCCCAGGTTACGCCATTCTCCTGCCTCAGTTTCCCGAGTAGCTGGGACTACAGGTGCCCGCCACCACGCCTGGCTAATTTTTTTTTTTTTTGTATTTTTAGTAGAGAAGGGGTTTCACCTTGTTAGCCAGCATGGTCTCGATCTCCTGACCTCGTGATCCGCCCACCTAGGCTTCCCAAAGTGCTGGGATTAAGTTGTGAGCCACCGCGCCCAGCTGTGTATGCATGTTTTAAATTTTGTTGAAGCTGGGTGCAATGGTTCACGCTTGTAGTCCCAGCTACTTGGGAGGCTTAGGCAGGAGGATCACTTGAGCCCAGGAACTGAAGGCTGCAGTGCACTCTCATCGGGCCCGTGAATAGCCATTGCACTCCAGCCTGAGCAACATAGTGAGACCTCATCTCTATAAACAGTTAAAAATAAATAAATAAATAGATTTTGGTTGCTCCCGCCAAATTGCCCATCAAAAAAATTGTTCTGATTTCCTCTTCCATCAAAAGTGTTTGTGCTTGCCAGTTCCCTATACTCTTGCCAAGATAGAATATTATCATCTTTTTTTCCCCAAACCTAATGGGCAAAAACACTAGTGTGATTTTTCCCAATTAGAAGAGAGATTATTCTTTTTATATGTTGGTTGGCCATTTGTATTTCTTTTGTAAATGGTCTTTGCCAGTTTCCTAAAAATTGGCTTATTTTCTTCACATTCATTTGAGAAGTTCTATGTGTGAATACAGATATTAATCTCTTGTCTGTTATGTAATGTCGTGCATGTTTTCCCATGCTGTTATTTTTTCTGCAGTGTTCAAAAATAAGATCCCAAAGTGACTGGGTAGGTGAAATTGTTGCATAGAGGGGTGGGTGGGAGTTATGATGAAGCTGAGAGCTATCGCCCCACCAAAAGAGGGCTCCACCTCTCAACCATGGCTGGTTACTTCTACGGGGAAGGGAGGAAATGTTGCCAGACATCCAAATATCCCTTTATTTTTTCTTTTTTAAAGAAATGGGGTCTTGCTTTGTCACCCAGGCTGGAGTACAGTGGTGTGATCATAACTTACTGCAGCCTTCAACTCTTGGGCTCAAGCAATCCTCCTGCTTCAGCCTCCCCAGTAGCTGGGACTACAGGCATGCAACACCATGCTTGGTTAATTTTTTAAAATTAAAATTTTTTCTTTTGTAGAAATGGGGGCTATGTTACCCAGGCTGGTCTTGAACTCCTGGCCTCAGGTAATCCTCCCACTGTGGCCTCCCAAAGTGCTAAGATTACATGCCACCATGCCTGACCCTCCATTATATCTTCTAATTGATTATTGATGCTGTATTGGAAATTGTACCCTTCTTTAGTTCCCTCTGCTTTGACTCAGGTATGACATATCTCCTAGGAGTTCCTTCCCGAACTCTGGCTTGGGCTGAGTGTTCCGTGTCTGCTCCTCTAGCATCTCATGCACATTCCCCGACTTGAATTGAAATTCTCTGTTGTTGTCTCTCTGCCTTCCGATCAGGAACTAGGACTTACTCAATGCTTATGTATAGCCCTACTCCTAACAAGATGTCCAATAATAATAGGTGCTTAAAATACGTGTTTTCTTTAAAAAAAACTATGGAATATATTTTTACATTATTGTAATAAAAGTTAATGTATAATTTTATATTTCGCTTTATTTGTAACACTATAGTGAACATTTTTACCTTGGTAACAGTCATTATATTTATTTAGAGTAGCTGAGAAATAATGAGAGACATCATTTAATTGAACACTTAACTCTGCAGTAGGTACTGTTCCCGCTGCTTTGCATGAATTATCTAACTTATTCTTCACAAGGGCTGTTAGGCAGGTTCCCATTCTAAAGAGACAGAAAGTGAGGCACAGAGAAGTAAATTGCTCAAGGATGTGTAATAAGTACAGCAACCAAAATGTAAATATCCATTGAGTAGTTATAACCACTTAAATTGTTTATAAGTTTTGGATTTTAGACTTGCAGGGACCATCTTCATGCACATTTCCCCCCTTCTTTAAAAAAAATTATTTCCTTCTAAAAAATAGAGCACAGATCTTTTGTGGTACAGTGCTACTTTTCAAAATTTCATCATGTGTGCCTCAGCTCCACGACAGCCTTTAAGCCCAGCATTCTTCTAGTCACTGTTGGATGTACAGAAACTGATGACGTAATTGCTGCCCTCAAGAAGTTTAAAATTGAGTTTAGGTGATGAGACAAGTAAAAATGAAACCTAGCACAGAGTTTTTCCTGGATGAGGCATCCAATACAGGTTATGCATGCACTGGAAGAAATTTGGAACCTTGAGAAAGAAAACCAGATTTTGGCCTCTGGCTATGCAGAATTTCACATCTACTTTGATTCACCTTTGTCGGAGACTGCTTTGGGATGTATCAGTATTTTACTTTGATAAAGGGGTCAAATGTAGAGCAGTTCACTTTTCCCAGGGACTGAATAGTGCAGTGATCCAGAATCTTAAATAGCAGGAACTCTGGGATTGAAAGAGTTTTTTTTTTTTTTTTTTTTTGAGACAGAGTCTCGCTCTGTCGCCCAGGCTGGAGTGCAGTGGCCCAATCTTGGCTCACTGCAAGCTCCGCGTCCCGTGTTAACGCTATTCTCCTGCCTCAGCCTCCCGAGTAGCTAGGACTACAGGTGCCCGCCACCATGCCTGGCTAATTTTTTTTTGTATTTTTAGTAGAGATGGGGTTTCACTGTGTTAGCCAGGATGGTCTCGATCTCCTGACCTCGTGATCTGCCTGCCTTGGCCTCCCAAAGTGCTGGGATTATAGACATGAGCCACCGCGCCCGGCCAATTGAGAGATTTTATAAAGCCTTCTGCACTCTGGAGAAGATAGTGGGTGCTATATGACCATCAGAGGGTAAAAAAGAAATGTTTTGCTCTGTAGGCCAAGTGTGCAACACTGCCTGATGGTCTGAACGTGGGTTTGATCTCACAAATTGTCAGGATGTAACTCTTCACACATAAAAGCTTGTGAGACCTCTAGGCACGGCGGCTCACACCTGTAATCCCAGCACTTTGGGAGGCTGAGGCAGGCGGATCACCTGAGGTCAGAGGTTCGAGACCAGCCTGGCCAACGTGGTGAAACCCTGTCTCTACTAATAATACAAAAATTAGCTGGGCATGGTGGTGGGCACCTGTAGTCCTAGCTACTTGAGAGGCCGAGGCAGGAAAATCGCTTGAAACCGGGATGGGGAGGTTGCGGTGAGCCAAGATCAGACCACTGCACTCCAGCCTGGGCAACAGAGTGAGACTTTGTCTCAAAAAAAAAAAAAAAAAAAGCTTGTGAGATCGAGGGTGCTTGCTTTCCCTTTAATCAGTGATAACTTGCAGGAACTGACCACTGTTGCAGCAGTTGGTTCATTAAGGTTCTCCATTTCCAGAGCTTTCTCTAGTCTTTTCCATTGCCCTGCACTTTAGCTCTGAAAATGGAGTTGGAGTGAGTCCTCCTGTTCCATGTGTGAATACAGCAAGGCTGAGAGAGAGACTTTAATAAACAAGTGTCTCCTGGCAGAGATGGAATTGCAGTTGTCAGCCTTAGCGTTTGCTGAGCTGTCCCTTCTCCTCTCAGCCAATGTTTACCATTTTTGGAGCATTTCTGTGGTTGATGTTGTAGTAGAGCCTGGGAATAGTGCAAGAAAGAAAACTGTACGTCTATTCACACTCCCCCCCAACTCCCCATTTAATTTTGGCCAACAGTTTAAATTGCTTTTTGCATCTTTGCTTTTGGAGTTTCTTAGAGCTGGGCATAGGTTGCAACAATGACTACCTCTATTTTCTAACCTTTCCCCTTCTCCCCTTCCTAGTCCCTAGGGGAAGTTAATGCGTAGGGACATGGCAGAAGGCAAGTAGATGAAGGGGAAAGAGGAGACAAAAGGACCTGGATGGCCCACAGACTTAAGCAGTCGTGTTCTGAGTGGTTGAGAAAGGACTTTTGAAAGGATCTTGGCATTTTGTTCTAATTTTTACTCTGATGGTAAGCAAACTTCTTTCTCTACATAGGGGGTCATAATGATGGTTTTCATTTCTTGAGCTCTTACTCTGGGTCAGGTATTGTAGTCACAACTTGAGGTGTCACTTCATATTAATGCTCACAACATCTCTGTGAGGTAGATGTTATTAATCCCATTTCCTTAAAGTGGAAACTGAGGCTCAGTGAGTTTAATTACCTTCCACATAATCACAGGGCTAGACTCGAAGCCACCCAGACCTCTGTGTCATCTTGCCTTCCTATGGTTGTATGTAGCTACTGTTAATCCTTGAGATCTGCGTGCTGGTGTTAAGCATGTTTCATGTTACTTAGCTTTTAGGGGTTTAAAGAGCTTTTTAAGCCACGCACGGTGGCCTAGCTACTTGGGAGGCTGAGTCAGGAGGATTGCTTGAGGCTGGGAGTTCAAGGCTGCAGTGAGCCATGATCAGGCCACTGCATTCCAGCCTGGGCAATGAAACGAGACCCTGTCTCTTAAAAAGCTCTCCTTTTAAAAAAAATTTTTCTTATAAGTGACCTTGAAATTCAATTGTGGTTTTATCCAATTTTCTCACTTAAAACAGAAATTCTAATGATAATATTTTTATTTATTGCAAGGAACAAGTATATAGCTATGATAGATGACTTGTTACTTGGTCTTGAAATTCTTCTTTTTACCTCGTGAACATAGTGTGTTAAATTAAGAAAACACTGTAGAGATGATAATTTTGAAAAGTAGTTGATAGCTTGAATTTATACCTTTACCATTCAGGAGGTGAAGAGTGGAAGAATTATTTTCAGAAAGTTGGAAATGAAGCAGTAAGTGATGAGAATTTGTGGATGAGAGAGCACAAAACATCACAGTCAGTGACTGTTGCAGTTGACAAATGAGAAACCAACGCTCCCAAGGTTAAGAAAAACTTAGACTTAGGACACCCAGAGAAGCACTCCCTAGAATGCCAATGGAGAAAGACTTATCTCTGCAAGTGCTGTCCTTTTCAGCTCTTACTGCATGCCAGATATTGTGCCCTTCTTATCCCTACTTAACAGATGAGAAAACTGAGGAACAGATCAACAGATTCAGTAATTTGTCTAAGGTCAGACAGCAATTGATGTGTGATGTCTGAGACTTCCCTGTGTAAGCCTGGACTCATAACCTTTAGCAGTATGCCTCTTTATTAAATGGTCTGTTTTTAGGTGGCAATTTCATCTTAAAACAAATTCAGCATTAAAAAGTGTTTCTCTTCAAGTGAATTTGAGCGTGTTGGGGTCTGGAGAGATGGAATCATTTACTTTAACTGCCTATTCATTGGTCTCAAAAAGAAGCCCCTTACATGTTTGCTTAGGACAAATGATTATGCTGGATAAATACTAAAAACTGTTTTGATCTTACAAAATTTACTATCTGTGTACCTTTGGGGAGCAAAAACAAATTGCGGCTGGGAAAATTTAGTGCTTGTTTACAAGCTTTATTTCCTTTGGTTCCCCAAATTTGCACACACAGAGAGGGCATCATGGTTGGATTTTAAGGACCATTGGCAGCAAGAAAGGTAAGCAGCAGGAATCAGGGACCCCCCAGTACCTGCCACCCTGACGTCTGTTGGCACAAAAAAGTGGGCTGGCTGGCTGGCTGGCTGGCTTTAAGGGACAAGACGAGGCTCTTGATGAAGAGTACTCTATTCACGCTCTGATTGGAAAAACAAACTAAAACACATTTAGATATAAACATGATAGGAACCTTTAAAAAATCTTAACTGTTTAGTAGGTGCCTATTACTAACCTAGTTTCCATAGTGTAATGCATCAGTTTTATTGAACACTTTTTAGGGGATCAAGCATGGGCTTCTTGTTTACTGCTTCTTCTTAATCTACTCCCTTATATAAGTTTTTTGTGTGTGCATAGCCTCTACCTCCATTCTTTCTTAGTATATTATTATTTTTGAAGACATCATTGTGTTGGGGTTGGATGTGGTCTTGAAATTCACTTGGTCTAGCACCTTTATTTCAAACACTAGAAAACAGAAATTTGAATGATAGTATTTTATCTCTGTGTAGTAGTTTCTGATAGACTATTTGATTTAATCATCTCTACCACCTTGTGATGGCTGTTACCCCATTTTACAGATGAGGAAGTGAGGTGGTTGGACCAGGGTCAGATAGCTGGTTATCAGCAGAGCTGGGACTAGAAGCGAGGTCTTCTGATTTGTGCTCAGGTTTTTTTCTGTTGCATCATGCTGCTGCTCATCCTCTTGTAAACTTGTGACTGTTGCACACCTCACAGCAGACTGACCCAACACTCCCAAGAGTTTATCCTTCCTGCCTTTTGTGTGCTATATCGAAACAAATTAATTTTGTGTTACTATTCAGTTCAAAAATCATAAGACTTATTTAGTGTCTGAAGCTGATAAGCAGCATTTAATTATTTTCTGAATATAGAGCTGGAAACCATTGTCCATCTCTTTTTCAAGTTATTATTTTTATGAAAGATGAGCATTTGTCAATAGAAGTATTTGTTGAATTAACATATGTAAAGACCCTAAGAATGCTGGATCAAAATATTTTGAGGCTGGTTGTGGTGTCTTATAACTATAACCCTAGCACTTTGGGAGGCTGAAGCAAGAGGATCACTTGAGGCCAGGAGTTCAAGATCATCTTGGACAACATAGTGAGATGCCATCTCCACAAAAAACTGTTTATAAAAAATTAGCTGAGTATAGCTGAATATGATGATACATACCTGTAGTCCAAGTTACTCGAGAGGCTGAGGCAGGAGACTCTCTTGAGCCCAGGAGTTCAAGGCTGCAGTAAGCTATGACTGTGCCACTGCAGTCTAGCCTGGGTGACAGAGCAAGACCCTGTTTCATAAATAAATTAGTAAATAAATAAATACAAACTGTGAATTTGTTCAGTGCTGACCTCTCCCCATCTTACATGTTGTGAAGCAGTATGTTAGATGCCCTTGGAGGCGGGAGGCAGGACCAGTGTCTTGCTCAGGTATACTCGTTGTGCAAGGATCTCCTGACCTACCCTTTAGCAGTCACTCCTCGCACCTGCCTGTCTCGACAGCACCAGTGTGTCCCTAAGATGAAGCCATACTACTCAGTAGGAAGAATGAAATACCCATTCTGAGAGGTGAAAGACAATGGGGTGATGTGGGTGCCTTCCCCTCTTACCCTTGTGCCTGCCCCTGAAAGAAAGTGTGGAGTTTAGTGTATACACATTGTCTTTGGTTGCTGGACTAAGGCTGAACAAGATTAATAACTTGTTGTATTGAACTGCTTATCTTCGATAGCTAGTGTTTGGACAGTGTGCCATTCCCGTGGAATCTTGGGGACAGGAGTGAGATTCGAGAAGCCATCCTTTCCTCCTCTGTCCTCAGGCGGAATGGCCCCCAACTGGGAGAGCGAATTTTCTTCAGATGTTCAGGAGAGTCTAGTAGTTCATGCCATTGTTACACTTTTCATTGATCAGAAGAACTAACTCTGTGGGCCTTTGTGTCTCTCTTTCAGGTCTAACTTCAAACTTGTGGCTGTTAATTCAAAACTCTATGCCATCGGAGGGCAGGCCGTTTCTAACGTTGAGTGTTACAACCCCGAGCAGGATGCGTGGAATTTTGTGGCGCCCTTACCCAATCCTCTGGCTGAGTTCTCTGCCTGTGAGTGTAAGGGAAAAATTTATGTCATTGGAGGATACACTACCAGAGGTAAGTGAAGGGACCAGGTAGGTGGTCTGCCCATGTGTAGGCGTCAGCAGTCTGGGAAGGGCAAGAGGGTGTCAGAGGAAGCCCCGACATATCCGAGTGTCATGTTATGCTTTAATAGTGTACACTTACACATCTGGAAGGAAGAGAGTTCCATATGGCAGGGATGATTGGGACAGGAGGGATCTTTTGATAACTTTGTGTGAGCATGAAAATCGAATGGGGAAGGGAGAGCTGTGAAAAAAAAATGTTATCTCTTTTTTTTTGCTTCTGGAAACCCAGCTTTTTGGTCAGCCGTCTTGTGATTTGGCTGGGCCTGGTTTGTGGGGGTCGCTCTCTGAGGTTGGGTAGCTCTTTGGAGAAGATTATCTGGGAACTCCCATCCTTATCCCAAACATACACCAAACCTGCCCCCATCCACCATTATGGAATTTAGTACCAGAGCATCCTTGCAGATTAGTTCTCATTTTCTCTCTTTGTGAGCACACACACATCAGGTAGAGGTTCCAGAAACCCAGCTTTAGGACACTGTTCACATATCACAGGAGGAGCAAGGACATGAATACAAGAGAGCTCTTTCCTGACCAGCAGTGGGAGGTGGTTGTACTATCTATTTATTTGTTTATTTATTTATTTATTTTTTGAGATGGAGTCTCCTTCTGTCACCCAGGCTGGAGTGCAGTGGCGTGATCTCGGCTCACTGCAATCTCTGCCTCCTGGGTTCAAGCAGTCCTCCTGCCTCAGCCCCCCAAGTAGCTGGGATTACAGGCTGCACCACCATGCCCCGCTAATTTTTGTATTTTTAGTAGAGATGGGGTTTCACCATGTTGGCCAGGCTGGTCTGTAACTCCTGACCTCAGGTGATCCACCTGCCTTAGCCTCCCAAGGTGCTGGGATTACAGGTGTGAGCCACCGTGCCCGGCCTGGTTCCACTATTTATTAAAATGTATATATGTGTTTTTCACTTTTTTGGTAGGCATTTTATTGTTAATAATTTGGAAATTAAAAAAATTTCTCCACAAGCTTATTTTTTGTGGAGACAAGGTCTCCCTGTGTTGCCTAGGCTGGTCTTGAATTCCTGGGCTAAGTGATTGTTCTGCCTTGGCCTCTCAAAGTGCTGGGATTACAGGCATAAGTCACCATGCCCTGCTTGCCAGCAAGTTTTATACTGCTCTTTTTGGTAGGGAATTGTCTCAGGTTACAGTGATAGAGAACAATGTAGTTGTTGGTGGGATACAGTGGCTCATGACTGTAATCCAGCACTTTGGGAGGCTGAGGCAGGAGGATTGCTTGAGGCTGAGAGTTGAGGACAGGCCTGGGCAACATAGCAAGACACCTTCTCTAAAAATGAAAAAAATTAGCTGGATGTGGTGTCATGTACCTGTAGTCCCAGTTGCTTGGGAGGCTGAGGCAGGAGGATCACTTGAGCCTGGGTGTTCAAGATAGGCCTGGTCAACACAGCAAGACCCCTTCTCTAAAAATGAAAATAAAAAAATTAGCTGGTTGTGGTGGCATGTACCTGTAGTCCCAGTTACTTGGGAGGCTGAGACAGGAGGATTGCTTGAGCCAGGGGTTTGAGGCTGCAGTGAGCTATGACTGCTCCCCTGCACCCCAGGCTGGGTGACAGAGTGAGACCCAGTCTCTAAAATAAAAAAAAAAAAAAGAAAAGAAAAAATAAAACTGTGGTTGTGGGAAGACAGACAATGGGGGACAGTCAAGCAGAGGGGTGCCTTTCCTTCCCTCTACTCTCCAAAGCAGATGTCTCCAAGTTACCTCTTAGCCAAGGAAATCTATTTCTGCATTTGGTCTGTGTGACTCTATGGAGCCCAGGACTTACAGAAAAGGTGTAACCTGGCTCTTAGGACTTTAAGCCACATTATGGTAGTAGACCTGCCGTTTTATTTGACATGGTGAAATAAACTACCACTCCTTTGTGGTACCATATGGGCAGGACAGAGCTCTTCAACCCTGGCTAACAAGCCTGAAGAAGACCCTGTGAGGCCGCAGCAGCCATGGGAACTTCCCAAAGGACAGAAATCCACATGCTAACGTAGCATCCAGATAGGTGACAGAAATTCCTTCCACCATATCCAAATGTGTCCTGTTTTGGGGATTTATGTTAGGAAGAAGTTAAAATGTAAAGTATTTGATGAACATCTGATTTATTTCTTTTTAGAATAAGTCGAAACATTAATTCAGTGGGGAAGATGGTGGGAGGTGTGTTAGTTTCCTGTGGCTGCCATAACAAATTAGTATACACTTGGTGGCCTAAAACAACAGAAACATATTTTCTTATAGTTCTGGCGACCAGAAGTCAGAAGTCAAGGTGTCAGCGGGGCTGTGCTCCTTCTGAGGGCTCTAGGGGAGGAGTCCTCCTTGCTCCTTCTAGTCTCTGGTAGCTCGGGGCTCCTTGGCTGGTGGCTCCATGATGCCCCTGCCTCTGTCTTCATATGATGCCCCTGCCTCTGTATGTATCTGTGGCTTCTCCCTTTCTGTCTAAGGACAGTTGCCACTGTTGGATTTAGGCCCCATCTAGGTAATCCAGAAAGATCTTAAGGTTTTTAACTTAATTACATCTGCAAAGACCCCCTTTCTTTTTCTTTTTTCCCTTGAGATGGAGTCTCACTCTATTGCCCAGGAAATAGTGTAGTGGCACAGTCATAGCTCATTGCAGGCTCAACCTCCTGGGTTCAGGCGATCTCCCACCTCTGCCTCCCAAAGTGCTGGGATTACAGGCATGAGCCACTGTGCCTGGCCCAAAGATCCTTTTTTTGAATAAAATCACCATTCACAGGTTCTGGGGATTAGGAATTTGACATATCTTGTTAGGGACCACCATGCAACCCACTGAAGTGATGTGTATATTTATGTATTTAAGGAGAGGCAAGACAAAGAGAAGTGACCTTTTTTTTTTCCCACTCCAAGTTTTCATTATTTGTCGAGCTATTCCCAATGTCCCTCTCTGGTGACTCTCCACTGAAGATAGTTTTCAACTTTTTCTTTACATATAATTGAAAAAAAAAAAAAGAAACTTAGTAGTCATTGCTTTGACCTTCAACACTGGTTGTCAGGTTACAGTGATTATAGGTTTAGACTAAGCCATGGGCCCCTCAGTCCCCCTGAACTCCTGTGTTTATGTAGTAATCCCCCTCTCTCGTGTGTGTGTGTATATGTGTGTGTCTTTTCTTCTAGGAAAGTCAATACTCCCAGTTATTTACCTATGAGCAATTCTAAGAATTCTGATTCCTCTCTAGGTTGAGTAACACAGACTGCATCTTGTGGGCTGACATAACGCACATATGTGCTTTGACTTCTCTTGTAACCAAGAGCTGTTCAACACTGACAGGCGGCACTGTAACCCAAAGAGTACTTTACTGGTAGATTTCCTAGTTTTTCCATGACCCTGGCTGAGCAAATGTTCTTTAGATTTGACCTAGAAAACCCTTCTTGTGTGTTTTGTAACCTCACAAGCCACTGCTAATGTACCTTCTTCACTTGGGCCACCCACCGTGATTTCTGTCCTGGATTCCCTGAGCCAAATACCCATGATGGGATGGTTCAGTGATGTGGATGGATGGCTATTTGTGTAAGGGCCGAAAACTAGTTTTCTAAGATGGGAGAGCTGGGCAGTTACTTATACTCTGAAGCCCTTCTCTTTCTCTGCTGGGGCTTTCCCAGCAGTTCCTAATAGTTCCTTGTATTTCAGATAAGTCATCATGATTGTTAGGAAAAAAAGAAAAAGTTAGTTTTTAGCCTCCTGACTTCTTAAGTCAAGTGAGACTTTTAAAATTTAGTAAATAATAGCTCATTATTTTTATGGTAGCTATTTGATTATTTTAATTCTTTAGCAGCACTGAAGAAATTCAGAGAAGTTCAATAGAGAGTAATAGCTATAAAGGGAAGAAGGGTGATTTGTCAAACTTCAGAATCAACTTTAAATGTAAAAACAAAAAGATCATTCCACCAACTCAGGCCACCTTGTTGAGTGAAGAGAGAAAACATTTACAGAACACCTGGAAAGACCTTCGGGCCTGGAGCTGAGAAATACGTGGAAGCCTCACTAGAATGAGTTCTTTATTGGTTCGGTGGACAGCCAGGTTACTAAGGAGCACTTTTTGTTAAATAAGTGACCAAAATCCCCTTGGGCCATCTCCTAAAATGATCTTTATCATAATAGCTACAGTAAAAAGAAAGAAGGAGAGGTATTAATGTGGGTGGAAATCAGGACAGTTTCCTAATGCCGTGGCTTACAATTCTGAGATTTCTCCAGGCATCAGGACATGTGCGCGCACAGGACTTGGCTCTCTTAGGAGATACTTCAGTTTGTATCAGATGTGGCTGTGGAGGGTGCTCTTTAAGCATTGCTAACTATGAGTGGGTCCCTCTCAGAAGAAAGGACTGTAAGAGGTATGAAACTTCTGAGAAAACGAGCTGTCTTCTCTTACCAAGCGCCTGCAGCCGTCAAAATGCTGTAGGCTTTAGTCGTCTGCCAGTTCCCAAGCTGAGCTGTCTCCTTCATGGATAGGATTTGTTTGTTTAGAAACAACAACAAAGTTCATTCTGTTTATAACTCAGAGCATTTGTTTTTTCTGCTGAGGCTAAAATACTTGTTTATTCTTTCCTAGAGGAGAAAAGAAAAGAGAACAATTAAAAACAAGAAAAACAAAACTAGATATTCTAAATTTCACAAGCGTTTTTCAAAAAGAGACGAGGCCATATTTTTCCTTAAAGAAAATTACTTTTTTTTTTGAGAGAACAGGATCTCACTCTGTCACCCTGGCTGGAATGCAGTGACATGATCACAGCTCACTGCAGCCTCACCCTACCATGCTAAAGTGATCCTCCCACCTCAGCCTTCCAAGTAGCAGCTGGTACCATAGGTGCACACCACCATGCCTGGCTAATTTTTTATTTTTTTTAGAGACAGGAGGTCTCACCATATTGCCCAGGCTGGTCTCGAACCCCTAGGCTCAAGTGATCCTCCTGCTTCAGCCCACCCAAAGAGTTGGGATTACAGGCATGAGACACCATGCTTGGCCGAAAATCATTATTAATTAAAAATGTCAGAGCAACCTTTTATCTAGACGTTGATCTTATCTACGCTACAACTGTCATCTTGTGAGGGACATGGGAAATGGGAAAAGGGAGAGGGGAGGACCTTTGTTAGTGTCTCTCTGGTGATATAATGGGGAAACTAAGGCTAGGCATGGTAAAGATCCTGTCTTTAAAAAAAAACAAAAAAAAAACTGGAAACTGAATTGCCAAGTGGTTCTGTGGCTTGTTAGAAGGCCGCAGGTGAGACTTTGCTGCCTTTCTCCTGACTTGTAACGTTGTGTCCTTTTCACTAGACAGCCTCTGGAGATCCTGTGTTGCTACTTGTCATGTTTCTTAGGATCAGCTATCAAGAATAATCTACTTGCTGCCCAGCCTGGCTTCTGTATTAAGTAGTCGGTAATTTTGTAGCTATTGATGAGGGTTCTGAGGCACTTACTTTTTTTACACTGACCTGGTGGTTCAAAGGTGTGGGGATACCAGGGAGGAGGGGCTGTGTGAAAGTCAGAGCTGCGCTTTTTCCTGGTTTTATCCAGTCTGAGTCTCCCACGGAAGAGACGTTTGGGAGTGGGAGGTGAGTGCGGATGGATCTAAATATATCTCTTCCCAGCCACTTTGAAAACTGTTTTTCTAACTTGTGCTTTTTCTGAAAGAGTTTTTTCTCTTTGTTACCAAATTATGCAGGCAGAGGTAGACATTTCTGTACAGACTTGCCTAGTGGTGTTAGTGGAGGCGGTGTCATCACTTGTCTTTCTTTCTTTCAGACCGGAACATGAACATTTTGCAGTACTGCCCCTCTTCCGACATGTGGACGCTCTTTGAAACATGTGACGTCCACATTCGCAAGCAGCAGATGGTGTCTGTGGAAGAGACCATCTACATCGTGGGGGGGTGTCTCCACGAGCTGGGGCCCAACCGCAGGAGCAGCCAGAGCGAGGACATGCTCACCGTGCAGTCCTACAACACCGTCACCCGCCAGTGGCTCTACCTCAAGGAGAACACGTCCAAATCGGGTCTTAACTTGACTTGTGCGCTCCATAACGACGGCATCTACATCATGAGCAGAGACGTCACCCTGTCGACCAGCTTGGAACACCGAGTGTTCCTCAAGTACAACATCTTTTCAGATAGTTGGGAAGCATTTCGGCGTTTTCCAGCTTTTGGACATAACTTGCTGGTTTCTTCTCTTTATCTGCCCAATAAAGCAGAAACATGACTGAATTGAATTGGTAGATGAAAAAAACCTGGTTCAAGTTTTTTTTAAAATGTGGTGTCCCATTCCAAGGGAGACCAATTCCTAAAGGGTAAAGAAGGGTTAAAGTAGGTCACATATATACAGTAGCAGCTGTAAATAAGCTTACTTGAACTAATTACTTGAAAACTGGTGGAAAAAAGAGACCAACTTTGTTATTTTTTAAATTATTGATTTTTAAATTATGGGAGCAAATCCATCTCCAAACATGATACTCTTGGGCCAATGACGGATCATCAAAATGTAGATTCATTGTGTCTGTGTGGTAAAGGGCCAAAGTCAATAATTGGGACAAATGGTAAAGATGATTTTAAAATCTGTTGTATTTAGGTCCCTTGACATATCATTAGCACCTTAAGTGAGAGGTTTTCTTTTTCTTATCAGTGTCCTTGACAAGCATTCATATTAACATATTCATTCTCTCTTCTCCATCACCCATACCCACACATACATCTAGTATGTTTAGGGTTCTGTGTTCAGATATTTTGTTTGCACACTACTTTTTAGGAAACTTATAATGATGGAGCCCTACAGTGAATCCTTACCAGTGTTCAGTCCTCCCCAAAACTTGCATAAAAATATTCTTAGCTATTTTTCCAGCCTTTTTTGCAGTTACAAATGCTGGATAAATAGACTGATAAAACCTCTTATTTTATTTATGTGGCAGGTTGCATATTTATGTGGACACATAGGTTGCACTGCTAGGCATTCTGTATTGTTTTAAAGAGGATATATTATTTAGAAAAATGGACATATGAATATTATTAAAAATTGAGTCTTAAATTTAAATGGGAAGGGAAGAAAACACCAAATAAGAAAAAAATTTGCCTTTAAGAGTTACTTTTGTTGAATGTATTTGACTTAGTTCTTATTTTAAGGCTAAAAAAACTTTGTCATATTTAAGTCGGCAGCTTTCTAATTTAATCTTAGCTTTGTAATTCATGTTTTGCTTTTGTGGACTAAGGTAAGGACAGCATTTAAATATTTGTGCTGGAGTGAGGGGAAGAAGCTGTTACAGAAGTGGAATGGTTTCTGGTGGTATTTCTGAAGTTAGGTAAAGTGCTTTACTTGCCTTGGTTGTTAATTGAAATAGAATTCAGCTCAAGCAGTTGTTTTCAGTGAGTGAGTTAACAATAAAAGCTTCTGCCAATCATAGATCAACATTCCTCAAAAATACATACACTCATACTTATGGAAATTTTATTTTGATTGAAAACACTCTGAAATTATCTGATATTTTGTAATGGCATCAGTTAAACTGTGAGCTGGATTCCATCTTTCTGCAGTAACAGCGGGCAGAACCATTTCAGTTAGCATGTGCCTCACTTTAAGAAAGTCCTGTAGGGGAAAAAAAAAACTGTCAGAGCGAATTCATGCATTCAACAAACACTTATGAGTGCCTGGAGTATGCCGTCCACTGTGCAGATGTAGGACAGGGGCTAATCACTTAGAGTTCTTCAGTTTATTAGAGGAGTGACTACAGGTTTTCTTTACAACCATGGCCTCTAGTATACTTAAAATAAGCGTCCAGTTATAAAAAGCCTATTTGCACAACTTTTTGGGAATACTTCTATTAACTAAAATGAGGTAAGCCATTATTTTGGACATAGAAACAGATCTTTGTATCTTGTCACCAAATAATCTTACCTCTAGTCTACTTACAACTTTGTAAGGGTTTCTAAGCTATGCCCATTTATTCCCAAATATTAAGCCCTTAAAAAAATAAAACCTCTGAACCAAAATCTTCCCAGGAATAGTACTTAATAGATTTTAATGTTAATTTATATTCATTGTAGAATTGAATTTCCAGTGACCTGTAATTTCATTACATATATTTTAAAATCTATTTATTTTAGATGGTGTTAACTTTTCGTTGCTGAAGAGCTTAACTTTTTAAAGGCTTTGTCCTATACATTTAGAAGATGAGTCAGTTGAATTAGTACTGGACAAACAGTTGGAGATTAGTTTGCAAATAAGCATATCATATCAAATACAATATTCCAGCCAACCAGTTAATTCTCTTCCTGGTTACATTCATTGGGTCTATTTGCCTAATGTTGACAATTAGATTCTTGGACCAAGTGAGGGTGTACTCTGATCCACAAAGCTCTTTTATAAACCAGGTTTGAGGTTGTGTGTGTGTGTGGGGGTGTGTGTGTGTGTGTGTGTGTATGTTTGCATATTATAGCTCTCTTTAAGACAGACATCTAAAAAGATTTTGGTTATTCTGGGCTGCCAGCAGTACGTGGGAAAGGTGGAATGTGCAATAGGAACAGATCTGTGCATTTTGTGACATCGTCCTTCCTGCTGTGCACATCAGCTGTGATGACATTTTGAGGGTAGTTTTAATTTAGCTCGGTTCTCTTGTTGGTGCCAGTATTACATTGAAGACTACCTATGATAGAGGCAATGTTGCTTTGAAAATCTCCCTTCAGGCGGAGGTTGCAGTGAGCCGAGATTGTGCCATTGCACTCCAGCCTGGGCGACAGTGCAAGACTCTGTCTCCAAAAAAAAAAAAAGAAAAAAGAAAATCCCCCTTCATCCCCCAGGACTGTCCTTTACTCTTTGATAGTATCCCTCTATTTTCTTCCCAATTCTCTAAATGCTTTATCATTTTTTCCTGAGATGCTTCTGAGGGATGCTGACCTCCCACTATGGGGAAAAGGGTTGCTTGGAGGACCTGGGGTGGCAGCCCCCCGACCAGAAGCACCCTATTTTATAGATAGCAGTCTGAATGGTAGAGAGTCCTGTGTGTGGGTTGTTAGAAGGTTGGTTCTTCCTGTTATTCTCTCTGGCTTTCCTTTCAACCCACTTATTTTCAGAGGCCTCTCCCCTTAGCATCCTTTAAAAGGTTTTCTGATGAATGTGTGAAAGAGTTGATTATTTCAACAGTATTGGTTAAGTCACAACGACGAAGTGCTGAGAAGGTTATGGGTACCAGGAAGAAACAAACAGAAGTCTTAAGATTAGAATGAGAACCAAAGAGAATTTAACCCTGCCATTTTTTTTTTTTTAACACCAAGATCCTAAGTAATTCCAAATGCCTTAGATATCAATGAAAGCTACACACCATTGAGATGGGCAAAATTCTTTCTCTACAAAGGGAGTAATCAAGTAAATACCTGTTCTCTTTCAATGGACTGTTGCCTATTGAGCATTGTGGATGATGTGTTTTCAGATTTCCAGGTGAAGTTCTGACCCTACCTGTTTGGCCAAAGACGTAAATTGAGAGGAAAGGCCTTGGTCTTCCTGATCAACCAGCATTTAACGAACAGTGGCTTAATGCAGATCACTCAAGAGGCAGCATAGCAATGTAAAAGGAATATAAGTAGGTGTTGGATGCCTTTTTCCTAGACCAGGAATGGGGAATATATAACACCTGTGCCACCGCTCTTTTAAGGAGGCATTATGAATGAGTGCAGCATTCCTGTCCTCTGTGCCAGGATTTGGTCTTAGAATCCATGTCAGATTGGTGCTTCCAGACATCTATTCCCAGTCCATCAGAGTGAAATGAAGGCTATTTGCCATCCCTGCCTTAGACAGAGGAGTGAAAGAATTAAGTGGGTAGACACCAACCAAAATGACTTTGAAAGCAGTGAGCTGATTGAGCTCCAGTTCTGTGGTTACCAGAAATACTGAGTGTCTGTCATGTGCAAGACAATGCTAAGAACAGAATACAGACATAAATAAGTCACGGCCCATGACCTTGAAGAGCTTACGGCCTTATAAAGAGGTTCACTGTAATTGTCTTCACCAGGGCGTCCTTCTCAAAGATGCCCACTTTTGTCTGGCACATTGGGGCTCGGTGGTCTGGTGGTCCCTTCGGTCTTGGCCCTGTCCGTCCTTTGTTTTTGTGATTTACTAACAATCATCACGAACCAGTTTTGTTTTTCTTTTAAATTTGAACATCACATCTTGTGTTTTAGTTTTTTGCTCTATGATTTTTTTCTCACTGCTTTTCAGTCTTCTCTGTACTTCATTTTTGTGAAAAAGTGAAAATCACATATAATCTTTATTTAAAAATGCTCACCAAGCACTGCAGACTTTGGAGTTAGGGATTCAGCAGCTTGTTCCAGTGAAAAGGAGGAGTGAAGCTGGGGAAGTTAGTATCTAAGAGGGGCAAGCTGATTGCATGTGCATTTATACCTATGCCTTTAAAACATTCCCATAAAAAGTATTAATAAAGAAATTTCCATTCCACACTAGTACTGATGAAAAGGTGGTTGATTTTGCCTTGTGATAATTATCAAAGGATAGTTTTTCATCCTTAGATTTTATTCACATGAGAGATTTTTTTTATTTTCTCTGTTGACTTAGGAACACATCATAAATTCACACCAACTGACACGTTGCTGACGTCTGTACTTGACATAACCATTTTTATTCATACAGGAAGCATTAAATATAAAAGATGGTCAGTTTTGAAGAGCAAAGGGTGCTGAAATGACTTGTACGGTTGGCTGGTGCTTTCTCAAATGGATTGCCATAGTTCATTACTAGTAAAGAAAAGGAAAATGTGATTTACGTTGTCATTTTTCCTATTAAAAAAAACCCTTAAGAATGGGGCACTTGAGCTGTCCCTGCAATGTTTTCATATCTAGTAGTCATTTTAGGGAAAGTGATAATCTGTAGAATGAATAGTTATGTTTTGATATGACTGATACTTTCTTTGTTAAAAGGTTGTATTAAGTCTTCAATTTCAAGTCTAGCTTAAAAGTGTAAACATTATGTGATTCATTTGAATACAAGAATGCCTATGAAATACCCACTATAACAGCATTCCTTTTGTGTTTAGAACTATAGAAGAAAATGTCTTCAAATAAAGTAGTTTTCAGTCACTTTTTGTTATCTAAGTTCTATGTATCAGTTACGTATGCAGGGCTGTGCCAGGACTGGGAGGAAATGGGTGAAGTGACTTGGGAGCCTGAGGTGGGAGGATTGCTTGGGGCCAGGAATTTGAGACCAGCCTGGGCAACAGTGAAATCCTGTCTCTACAAAAAATAGAAATAAAAGAAATTAGCCGATACAGTGGTGCATGCCTCTAGTCCCAGCTACTTGGGAGGCTGAGGCAGGAGGATTGCTTGGGCCCAGGAGTTTGGGGCTGCAGTGAGATCTGATTGCACCACTGCACTCCAGCCTGGGCAGACAGTGCAAGACCCCAACTCAAGAAAAATGAAATAAATGGACAACCATTTTCTACACACTCAGGACACACTGATGGAGGAGAAGGAGGATGGCTGACCTAGCAGAGCGACACCCAAATCTAACTGAGCACTTTTTTTTTTCCCAGGAATTATTCTAAGCATTTTTTATTTAAATTATTTAATCCTCACATGAATCCCATGTGGTAAATACAAATATCCTCCGCTTTACAGTTGAGGAAACTGAGGCACTGTAGGTTACAAATTGCCACTTGAGAAAGAGGAGAAGGGAAAACTACATACAGTGGTCACTGGTTTAAAGGGTATCCTTTCTCTTGCTAGTGGAGGAGTGGGTTTCCGAGTGAGCCAGTCTGGGAGCCTCTGGTCCTGCTTTGCAGCAGCGCGTTCCATGGCTGACCTGCCTGGGGGTGAAGTGGCAGCCTCTTCCTGTGGGCATGGTTACAGGAGGTGTGTGGAGGGGCACCTGAACACTTCTGTTGAGGCCAGGGATCCTAGGCTCCTGTTTGTAGGCCATCAACATTTCCTTGGCAATAAAACTTTAAAAACCCATTTGAGGCTGGGCACGGTGGCTCACACCTATAATCCCAGCACTTTGGGAGGCTGAGGTGGAAGGATTGCTTGAGCCCAGGAGTTCAAGGACAGCCTGGGCAATACAATGAGACCCTGTCTCTATTAAAAAAATAAATAAATAAAAACTCAGATGCTGGTAAATCTGATCTCCGGCAACTCCATAGGATAAAGGCCCAGATTTAGAGGAGCCCAGTTTCTTTAACTTAGAGCCCATCTTTATGATGTCTGTCTCTTAGCCACAGGCTTCCTGCCCATGCCTCCACCTTCAGTTTGATGGCGTCAATCTCTCTCTTAGCTTTGGGATAATCTGAAACCATAGGGGTCTGCCGTTCCCAGACTACATCCCAGGGACTGCAGCATTAGTAGAAATGATTACCTCTGTGTGGCAGGAGGTGTTTGGGGAATAAAATACCCACCCTATTTCCTCTTCTTCTTCTTCCTCTTTTTCTCCTTCTCCTCCTTTTCCTCCTCCTCCTTCTCTATTTTTGGAGACAGGGTCTTGCTCTGTCACCCAGGCTGGAGTGCAGTGGCACGATCTCAGCTCACTGCATCCTCGGCCACCTGGGCTCAAGTGATCTTCCCACCTCAGCCTCCTGAGTAGCTGGGACCACAGGCATGTGCCACCACACCCAGCTAATTAAAAATTTTTTTAAAAAAAATTTTTATAGAGATGCGGTCCCGCTATGTTGCTTAGGTTGGTCTCAGAAAACGATTCTCCCACCTCGGCCTCCCAAAGTGCTGCGATTTACAGATGTGAACCACTGCGCCAGGGCCCCCACTCTATTAGTTTGCCTCCTCCGGGAGCCCGATCTTACTATATTTCTGGCTGTTCATGCCCCTTTAACTAAGGCAGAGAACCTGGCTCCTATAGTTCTGCCAGGCACATGTTTGATCCTCTGCAGTCTGCTGCCTGTAGGCAAAAGGGTGAAAGGCATGGACTCTAGAGCAAGACTTTGCTTCCTAATTCTGCTACTGTCTTTCTTTTTTCTTTCTTTTTTTTTCCCGAGACGGAGTCTTGCTCTGTTGCCCAGGCTGGGGTGCAGTGGTGCGATCTCAGTTCACTGCAACCTCCGCCTCCTGGGTTCAAGTGATTCTCCTGCCTCAGCCTTCCAAGTAGCTAGGATTACAGGCGTGTGCCACCACGCCCATCTAATTTTTGTATTTTTAGTAGAGATGGGGTTTCACCATGTTGGCCAGGCTGATCTCGAACTGGCTAGTCTGAAACTCCTGACCTCGTGATCCACCCGCCTTGGCCTCCCAAAGTGCTGGGATTACAGGCGTGAGCCACTGCGCCTGGCAATTCTGCTACTTTCTAGCTGTAGCTTTGGTTAGGCTACTTTGTCTCCCCAGGCCTCAGTTTCTTTATCTGTAAAGTAGGGATAACAATAGTATCCACCCTGTGAAACTGTTGCAAAAAATTGTATGAGAAAATTCATGTGATGTGTTCAGAATGGCATCTGGCACATAACACACAATGAATGTGAGCTGTTGTTATTATTACCAAAGCTGTTTCCTTTATACCTTCAAATGGGCCAGCTTGGCTGGAAGCTTATGCCTTTCCTAAAATATCTTAGCAAAGCCATTAAGACGTAGCTAACAAATTCCAGATCCTGGTACAAGTCTTTCACTTCTCCTAAAGGAGCCAACTTGAGTGGTCTGAGGCCCAAGAGACAGCAGCATAATTAGTTGTTTGCTTTCCACATAAGGTCAGGGATGAGAAGATTCTATCTACCCCATCCCTTCCCTTGCTTTAGCTGGCTCCATATTTCAGCTTTAGATATTTGCAACATCCCATCCTAAGTACCAAACGCTTTATTAAGACTTGTTTGAACCAGCCCAGGTAATGTGTCCATTTCTGAGGTAACCACTGTGGCCAGGGGCATGGAGGAGAATCTCCAGTTCAACCACGTGGAATGAAGTCATCTCAGATAATAGGGGTCTGCTTACTAGAAGAAAGGGGTGTTGACTCTTGACTTGCAAAAGGAACAGCTAGATAACCTGTTGGTCAAGCAAAGCCAAGTTTGTTATGCTTACTGTGGTCAGGGAGGACACCACCTTGAAAAAGAATTAGTAGTGCCTCAGAAGGGGAATGTCAGGTTTTGGGGCCTGGGCTGGGTGATTTTGAAGTAGGTCTCAACACTGGGCAGAGTTTCTGATACAAGAACTTTGGGCATAGGACTTTGTGGGCACAATGCAGTGAGAGTCCCAAAGCTAATCTTGGGAGCTTGTTTGGAGGTTCCAGCAGGGGAGCGCAGCTACTCATACACCCTTGACCCAAGACTGGTCCTCCTCTATTGGGGATGGTTGTCCTCTTCGACTGAGCGTGGAGTTTCGGGAGGGACGCACATGGAGCAGTGAGGGAGGAAGGGGTCACCCATCTAGCCAGCCAGATCAGTCGAATCAACCCTGGCGATCAGTGGGGTGAGAGTTGTCACAGGCAGATCACCCTCACATCCCCTAAGCTAGCCTTGATGGGGAAGCTGTTAGTCTTGGTAAGTGAGCTAGCTGGTTGGTTTACAGTGTTATGGAAGATAAGCCTTCTGAAAATACTTGTTCCTGGATACAGCTTCAGCTATCTCTCTCTCAGGGCACACATATTTGTCTCATAGAACAGTTCTTATGTGCTTGTCTTATTCCTCTTCTAGACTGTAGTTTCCTTGATGATAGAGTGTTTCATTAATCTTTTTATCACTCTATGTCAGGACATACACCAGAGCCATGTAACACAGCAGATTCTGGAAGTATTTGTTAAATTGGAAAGGTTTTGAAGCCTCCTTGGGTTTTCTGAAAATATATAGGTTTCTGGTTTATGTAGCCCTAAAATTTCCTTATAGGAAAAAAGTGTTTTCTTGAGGAACAACGGTTATTAGGAAAACAGTGTACTTTTCTCTTCTACCAACGTACATAATGCGTCACGCAGATGGGAGAAGTTTCGAATTCTGGCTGTGGCTGGAAAGGAAGTTTGCCCACAGACAGTAGTGAGGCAAACGCCTAGGAGTTCAGGGGGCCCCGCAGGCAAATGGGAATGGAGCCCCGTCGCTTCATTATTTTCTCATCACTAGAATCAATATTAGGGCTTGAGTGATATTATTGTCACTCGTAGAACTGTTTTTTTTTTTTTCTAAAATCTGAATTGAATGGCACAAATACACAGTTATTCAGAATCTGAATGCCAGCGGAAAGAGATGTAGAAAAGGTAGGCGATGTTGTTGTCAGAAAGTGTGGTCTGACCCCCATGTGGGCCTGTGAAGGGTTTCCTGAGGAAGTCTAGGGGCAGAGATTCCGCTGCTCAGGCTACTTTCAGCCCTGGTGGATTTCGAGGTGCTGCTGGGTAGGAAGACAAGAAGTCAGAGGCAAGAGATCTAGAAAGAGGCACTGTAATAACAAGTGGTCTGTGGCTGGTGGTGACTTTTCTTATACAATCTGGTGTGTATGTATATGTTTGTCTGTTGGTTTTGTTTATTTATTTGAGACAGAGTCTTGCTTTGTCTCCCAGGCAGAAGTGCAGTAGCCTGATCTCAACTCACTGCAACCTCTGCCCCCTGCCTCCTTAAAAAAAAAAAAAAGATACGCTGATTTTTTTTTTTAAGGAGGTAGGGGGCACCGTTCAGCTCAAAACAGGTACTAAATCTTATCTCAAAAACCTTTTAAAATGTGCTGTTTGCTTCACATGCCATTCATTGAGAAGGGGCGCACTGCCTGAAATGAAGTTTGCTTTGAGTTGCCTACCTTCCCCACCTCCCCACATCCCCATGATGCGTGTCATTTTAATGCCTAATAATGTCATTTTAATAATTACAAGTCTGAAAGAACAGGATAGGTAAATCCTATACCGTTAGCCATAGTTTGATGAGATCGGGCATGTTCAGGGTGGTATGGCCGTAGACCGTTAGCCTTACCTTGATTTCAACTTTTAATGAAAAAACACGGTACCTTTCTTAGCTGAGTGCATGAGTTAGCAGGTACAGATGTTAAATAATGTCTATGAATTCAGTGCTGTCAGTGTTCAGTGTCCCATGGAGGCTAATTTCTGTCACCTTCCAGTACCTGGAAGGTACCCACCAGTCAGGATTTTTTAAAAAACCAACAGACACTGACTCTAGCTGATGAAAGAAAGAAAGAAAGAAAGAAAGAAAGAAAGAAAGAAAGAAAGAAAGAAAGAAAGAAGGAAAGAAAGAAGGAAAGAAAGAAAGAAAGAAAGAAAGAAAAAAGAAAGAAAGAAGGAAAGGAAGGAAGGAAGGAAAGAAGGAAGGAAGGAAAGAAGGAAGGAAGGAAAGAGGGAAGGAAGGGAAGGAAAGAAAAGTTACTAAAAAGATAGGATTTAACTCAATCTTTAATAGGACATGAAAGAAACAGAAACGATGGCAGCTCTGGCAGTTGGGAACTCAAGGACAATCTCTTCGGGGCTCCACCAATGGGACAGAAACTCCAACCCACTTTAGGTCTCGTGCCATGAGCCCTGAATGGAAATGGAAGGAGTGAGCACCCTGATTGTCCTGCTGGGGTCACATGTCCAGCCCTAGGCTGGGGATGGGATGGGGCCCCTTGGGAAGTCTCACCGAGACCGTACCCATTGAGGGAGGGGGATTCTTCAGAGCAAAGCCAAGTGTTCAGTGGTAGAGTCAAGACAGTGTTGTTCTAATCCCGGGAATCACCTGATTCCTTTGTCTTAGGTTTCTTTTTTCTTCTTTGAGACAGAGAAAGACTCTGTTGCCCATGTAGTGGCACCTTCTTGGCTCACTGAAGCCTCTGCCTCCCAGGTTCAAGCGATTTTCCTGCCTCAGCCTCCTGAGTAGCTGGGACTACAGGTGCATGCCACCACGCCCTGCTAATTTTTGTATCTTTAGTAGAGATGGCGTTTCACCTTGTTGGCCAGGCTGCCTGGCCTCAAGTGATTCCCCCCAACTCGGCCTCCCAAAATGTTGTTATTACAGGCGTGAGCCACCATGCCTGGTTTCTTGGCTTTTTTTTTTCTTTGGCTTTTGTTTCTGAGGACCAGAGTCATCCTAAGCCTTCTGGTCTGGGCAGGTCATGGGAAAAAGGAACTCTCCAGGGGCCTTCTCTGTGACTATTTTAAGAAAATAACACAAACAGACCCAAGGCCAGGGCTCACATTATGGCATATTAGACAGCGTACAAAGGCTGCTGATTTATTCCGTTCTCTTATCTGATAGCCATTAAGGGGAGAAAGAACAGATGGGGAACATTCATTAGCACTGTTTATTATTATCTTCACGGACTATTTCACAGCCCAAACTGTGGCAACTCCATAATCCTTCTGAGGCATTGATTTGGAACACGTTTTATTTTAACCAAGGCAGCCTAATTGTGAGAGAACATTCTACATTTTTTCCCATCTAGTTATTGCCCACAGCAATGCCATCTACATTACCCCGGATTCCAGCCATCTCATGACTTTTGTGGGCCCTCGGCATTTTTGCCTTCATGGGTCCCTTCCTTGGTAAAACAAGATTAAAAATCATATTTTACGACTCTGTATAATGACCAGTATAATCCAGGCTGGACTCATTATTACCCATTCATTATTGTTATACTCATGTTTTTCTTCTTTTTTATATTTTTAGAGACAGGGTCTCGCTCTGTTGCCCAGGCTGGAGTGTAATGACATGATCATGGCTCACTGCAGCCTGGACCTCCTCAACTCAAGCTATCCTCCCGCCTCAGCCTCCCAAATAGCTGGGACTTCAGGCCTGTGCCAACACACCTGGCTAACTTTTGATTTTTTGTAGAGATGGTGGTGCTCTCACTGTGTCGCCCAGGCTGTTCTCAAACTCCTAGACTCAAGCAATCCTCCCACCTTGGCCTCCCAAAATGGTGCTGGGATTACAGGTATGAGCCCCTACACCCAGCTGTTTCTTCTGGTTTTAAAATAAATTACAATGAAAACATTTTTATGGACCTCCAAAAGTATTACAGTGCTTCACCTGTGTGCCTTGAGGATATGGCCCTGCACTCAGTCCATCCTAGACATGCACGCCCTTGTCCTATGCTTAGCATTGTTCTGGAATGATCCAGAATGCTATCCCCAGATATCCCTTTCTGAGAGTTCTGGAGTCAAACGGCCTGGATGAAAATACCAGTTTTATTCTCACTAGCTAGTGACCTGCATTTAACCCTACAGACCTCAGTTTCTTCATTTGTGGTATGCTGGTAATAATGCCAGCTTCCTTATTGGTTTCTTGTGAGGATTACCAGAGAAAATGTCTGTAAACACTTCCCACCGGATCTCACATGCGCTAGATGTTCCATATGTGATAGCTGCATATATTTCTTGTGATCACTACTCCTAGGTCATCAAGGTCATAACCTCACAGAAGGTGCCCCTGAAAGAAATCCAGTTATTTAGTGACTTGCTCCCCTTCCTCATTATCTGGCATGTCTGCAGAAGGGGCTTTGGTGAGGGAGTGCAGGCGGGTCACAAGTAGTCATTGCTATTATTAAAAAAAAAACAAACCAGCAACTCAGCCGGACGTGGTGGCACACACCTGTAATCCCAGCATTTTGGGAGGCCGAGGTAGATGGATCACCTGAGGTTAGGAGTTTGAGACCAGCCCGGCCAACGTGGTGAAACTCTGTCTCTACTAAAAATACAAAAACTAGCCAGGCGTGGTGGTGGGCTCCTATAATCCCAGCTACTCAGAAGGCTGAGGCAGGAGAGTCGCTTGAACCTGGGAGGCAGAGGTTGCAGTGAGCTGAGATCGCACCACTGCACTCCAGCCTGGGCGACAGGAGCAAAACTCCATCTCAAACAAACAAACAAACAACAACAACAAAACAAACTCATACACAGAGAAGTACGGGAGGACTTCCAGATCGCATTTTCTTTGGAAGAGATGCTTGGAAGGAAGAGATCTGAAGCAGTTAAATGGAAGGTTGTGTATTTCCTAGGATTGTTGGTGCCATTGTTGGATTCTGGATTTGGGTGTGGCCACCAAGCTGTCCTGTCACAGTGTAGCCAGCACTGCTGGTGTGAATGCCTGTGATGGAGAGGGAATGCTGTATTCTGGCTCTCTGTGCCTCCGGGCTGGTGGGAAAACGGCCAGACCCTCCACTGCAGCAGATTCATGCAGGGTGATTCGGAGCCACTAAAATGTAAAGAAAGACTGTTTGTTTTCCCAGCTCAGTTTTCAGAGAGGTGAGTAGGTGTTTTCTAGCAGTGCTGATGTTTATTTGTTCTGAAGTCTTTTCTGCTCTGTTGTGGGTCTCAAGCTTCACCGATCTTCAGAGGCAGCTTTGTAAAATGAAGTGGGGTTTTAATGTCTCATACTCCTGGATTTGTTGCATCGCTTCAAAATATTTTCCATCATGGTGCCTGCTCAAAGGTCTCTGTAAAGCATGGTGGTTATTGTCTTTCTGGCACAATTGCCCTTCTATTTCCTTCTGAAGTTTGTAAAGTTATTCGGGCTCTACTGTATAAGGAGCAGGGTCAATCTTACTAGCAGAAGGCTGAAATGAAACGGCAGCTGCTGTGAGTGCTGTGTAGAGTAAAACCTGGCACCACATACCCACTGTCCTGCCTAGATCCAAATGCATTCAGCACCCAGAAAACCCCCAGTGAAGAAAATTTCAATGCTGAAAGAGAAGACTGGAGAACATTACCATAGAATCAGGTTTGTCTGCATGTGCCAGATACCCTAAAATAACAGTATGTTATATAAGATAGAAGTTAATTTTTCTCTGAGGACAAAGCAGCTTGGAGGATAAGCAGTGCAGAGCCAGGACAGCCAGTGGTGGCTGCAGCTGGCTTATTCCAACTTGAGAGAATGGGTTATTTGCACCTCCTCTCAGTCCTATGTTCAATGATGTCACACTGGTAACTTGAAATTGGTGTGGCTGGGTGCAGTGGCTCATGCTTGTAATCCCAGCACTTTGGGAGGCCAAAGCAGGAGGATCGTTTGAGCCCAGGAGTTTGAGACCAGCCTGGGAAATATAGTGAGACTTCATCTCTAAAAAAAAAAAACAAAAAAAACAAAAAAAAAAAAAAAGAAAGAAGGAATAAAAAAAGGAAAAAAGAAATTGGCCATTGTGGAGGATTTTACGTCACTGACATTGGCACATGCTGCAAATCAGGGCTTCGCCCTCCAGAGAGCTGGTTGTTTACCACTTACCAGCCCACCACTGGGTCTAGCTCTCTAATGGGGTTTAGGAACCCCAAGCTCTTTCTATTCTACTGCCCCACCATCCTAATATGTGACTGTCATTCTTACTGTCATTTCACAGTTTAGAGTTGATGCTAGAGTTCCAGCCATTAAATGACACATCCCAGATGGCAAGAAGGAATCGAAATATAAGGAGACAAATATTGAACACCAGCGGTATTTTCAGATCTCTTGGAAGCTGGTATACAGCATTTCTGTGGCAAATACTTAGCTACACGGCTTTGCTTAGCTATAAGGGAGGCTGGGAAATGCCATCTTTATTAGGGGATCCACATGTCAAGCTAAAAGCTAGGGGTCTGTGGTAGACAGAGCTCTACAATATCCCCGGTGATCTTTACTTTGTATAATCTCCTTCTCTTGAGTAGGAGGCAGAACTTGTGAATATGACAAAATGTCACTCCTGTGATTATGTTATATATCAGATCAGTTGATCTTAAGATACGGAGATTATCTAGGTAGGCTTGACCTTCAAAAAAAAGCCCCTTAAATCTAGATCTAGAGTCAGAGATGGAGGAAGTCAGAGATTAGGAGCATGAGAATGATTGGACGTGCCATTGCTGGCTTGAAGGCGGAGGGGCCATGTGGCAAGGAGTGTGGGTACCTCCAGGAGCTGAGAATGACCCCACCGACAGCCAGCAAGGAAACGAGAGTCTCAGTTTAACAACCACAGGGAACCAAATCTTGACAATGACAAAAACGCTAAATGTAAAAGTGGATTTTTCTCTGAAGTCTGCAGACAAGAACTCAGGATGGCCAACATCTTGATTTTAGCCTTGAGATGCTCCAAGCAGAGAACTCAGTCATGCCATGCCAGACTTCTGGCCTACAGAACTGTGCATTAACTAATAGGTATTGTATTAAAGTGCTAAGTTTGTGATAAATTGTTACACTGCGGATGAAAACAGATACAGGATCTATTACTAAGGAAAAAAGGAAAAACGGAAATTAGAGTATACACCTTGCAGTCTTTGACTCATCAATGCAGTAAAACCCTCAAACGTTAAATTGGAAGGAAACAGAGTTTGGTGAGCCTGACCTCCATGCAGGCATCTGTGGCCATGCTCAAGTTCTTGGAACTTTTTTTTTTTTTTGAGACGGAGTCTTGCTCTGTCACCCAGTCTGAAGTGCAGTGGCGCAATCTCGGCTCACTGCAACCTCTGCTCTCGGATTCAAGCAATTCTCCTGCCTCAGCCTCCCGAGTAGCTGGGATTATAGGTGCGTGCCACCACGCCTGGCTAATTTTTGTATTTTTAGTAAAGATGGGGTCTCACCATATTGGCCAGGCTGGTCTCGAACTCCTAACCTCAAGTGATCAACCTGCCTCAGCCTCCCAAAGTGCTGGGATTACAGGCATGAGCCACTGTGCCTGGCCCCTGGGCTACATTCTTATCTAGAGGCCTGACTGAGGAAGAACCTACTTCTAAGGTCAGGCAGGTTGTCGGCAGAATTTATTTCCTTATGGTCATAGGACTGAAAATCCCAGCTTCCTGTTGCCTTAGCTGTGAGAGGCCATCCTCGGCCCCTTGCCACATGGGGCTCCCAACATAGTCAGCTATGGAGAGAGTCTCTAGCATGAATCTTAGCCAGACAGAATCTTATATAATGCAACGTAATCAGAAGTGATGCCCCATCACTTTTGTCATTTCTATTGGCTAGAAGAAAATCACAGGTCCCACTCACATTCAATGGAAATAAATTATACAAGGGTATAAATACCATCATTGGGAGTCACCTAGAGTCTGTCTGCCACACAGACTGTAATTTATGTATATATATAAAATTATTTTTAATTGACACATAATAATTATATTATTACATATTTATGGGATACAGAGTGATATTTCAATGCATGTATACAATGTGTAATGATCAAATCAGGGTAATCAGCATATTCATCCCCTTAAACATTTCTCATTTCTTTGTGTTGGAGACATTCAAAATCCTTTCTTCTAGTTATTTGAAAACATACAACAAGTTATTGTTAACTATAGTCATCCTTCAGTGCATAAAATACCAGAACTTATTCCTCCCATCCAGCTGTCATTTTCTATCCTTTAACCAACCTCTCTTTATTCTCCTTTCCCTCTTACCCTTTCCAGCCTCCGGTAACCACAATTCTACTCTCTATTTTTATGGGATCAACTTTTTTAGCTTCCATATAGGAATGAGAATGGGTGGTATCTTTCTGTGCCTGACTTGTTTCACTTGACACGATGTCCTCCAGGCTCATCCGCATAGAGAAGGAAGACAGGATCTCCTTTTTCATGACTAAATAGGATTCCATTGTGTATATATACTGTGTTTATTTTATCCAGTTGTCTGCTGCTGGACACTCACAAACCTCAATTATTTTTCTCATGTTCATGATTAATCTCAGCCAACTATGAGACTTCATTTCCTGTTTCCCCAATCCCCCTTGTGAGGTGTGGTCATGTGACCTAGGTGTGGCAATGATAACTAAGCAGAAGTATCCTGGGAGGTTTCTAGGAAATCTTTTGGGCTCTCCTGATCAAAGGGAAGAAACACAGTTCGTACCTTTCTTTCTTCTTTTTAAAGCTTTGAATGTGTAAGTCATAACTGAAACTACAATAGCACATGATTATGAGAAGTCAAAAGAATCACAGAGATATCAGTGTTAGGACTGGAGTTCTGCTGAATGAACACTTGTAATCCCTACAGCTGGATTTCCTGGCGTATGAGAATAATTAATTTTTCTGTGCTTAAGCCATTATAACAAGGTTTGTATCATTTGCAGTCAAAAGCATTCCTAATGAATAAAATTGGCTGTCATTTTTCTGTCCCCAGGCTTGGGGAATTATATTTCTGACAAGAGGAGACAATTTTGAGGTGATCTGCTGAGCCTGGGATCTCTATTCTCTGAGTGATCATTTTTTGCATGTGATCCTGCCCTGGCTGTAGCTGATTGAAGCAGGATGCATTCTTTACCAAAGCTGGGCCAATCAGATTCTCTTTTGCATTTAAACTGAGAGACACGAGAACAGGCTCTTGGGGGCTCAGTCACGTTAATTCAGAGCTTTGAAGTAAAAGCTTGTAAACTTGTGTAACTGAGGTCCTGGAGCTAAGTTCCAGCTCTTCCTGGGACCTGGCTGTTCAGTTTTTCACCAGATTGCATCAGAGGCATCTGTATCTTCATAATCAGTTTTTCCCTTGTTTAATCAAGGTAGATTCTGTAATAAGGAGTATCAACTAGGAAACATGACATTTACAGAGCCCTTTATGATCTGACCTTTGTCTTCCTTCAGCAACAAATTCTGTACTCATCTTCAATTACAGCACTATTTTCTCAGCAAAGTCTTCCTTGATCCCAACAGGACAAGAGAGCTGGAGTTCCCTCCCTACACCTGCACATCACCCACTACTGTCTGGCTTAGTAGGCAGAGGTAGACACTGTGTCTTTTTCATTTTTGTCTTTCCAGAACCTAGCACAAAGTCTGGCACCTCGTAGGCACTCAGTAAATGCTTTTTGAATGAATAAAGGCAGAGATGGGAGTTTCTGACTGAAGTAATAGTGTAAACATAACCACAGAGAATGAAAGTACATGGGATTCTATGTTCCTGAAGGGCAGGGACCATGTCTTATTTAGCCTAGCACAATATTTGGCACATGGTAGGTATATTAGGCTGTTGTTGCATTGCTATAAAGAAATACCTGAGGCCACGTAATTTATAAAAAAAAGAGGTTGTTGTTTTTTTCTTCTTTTTGGAGACAGGGCTGTCGCCCAGGTTGGAGTGCAGTGGCACGATCTTGGCTCACTGCAACCTCTGCCCATGCTCAAGTGATCCTCCTACCTCAGCCTCCTGAGTAGCTGGGACCACAGGTGTGAGCCACCAAGCCTGGCTAATTATTTTGTAAATATTTTTTGTAGAGATGAGGTTTTGCCATGTTTCCCAGGCTGGTCTTGAACTCCTGAGCTCAAGCAATCTGCTTCCCTTGGCCTCCCAGATTGCTAGGGTTACAGGTGTGAGCCACCATACCTGGCTAAGAAAGGAGGTTTCATTGGCTCATGTTCCTGCAGGCTATACAGGAAGCATAGCGGCATCTGCTTCTGGGGAGGCCTCTGGGAGTTTCCAGTCATGGTGGAAGGTGAAGTGGGAGCTGGCACATCACATGGCAAAAGCAGGAACATAAAGGTGGGGGAGGTGCCGCACACTTTTAAACAACCAGATCTGGTGAGAACTTACCATTGCAAGGACAGCATCAGAGGAGCGGTGCTAAATTATCTATGAGAAATCCACCTCCATGATCCAGTCACCTCCCACCAGGCCCCACCTCCAATTTTGGGGATTAGATTTCAACATGAGATTTGGGTGGGGCAAATATCCAAACTGTATTAGTAGGTATTTGTTAAAAGTCTTTTGAACTGAACTGCCCTGTGCATTGCTGAGAGAATGCTAAGTGTCTCTCTGGGGCTGGGGCATAAGAGTCGTGTGTGTGTATGTATGTGAGTGTGGAGGAGGAGGTGGTGGGTGGGGAGTGTAGAGGAGATGAGATGAAAAAGGCAAATTAGACCCTACTGTGCGAGGCTTTGCACACTAGATGAGGTTCTTGGCATTTGTTTTATAAACAACAAATAAAGTATTTTATTCATAGATGTAATGGGGCCAGAAGTGGGCAGCTTCTAAATAGTTCAGGAAATAAAAAGTGACTGAAGTAAGGAGGCAGCAGTAGAATTAGAAAGGAGCCCTGGCTCTCACGAACATATTGTTAAATTTTTAAGTATTTTAGGAGCTGGATGTTAAACCTTTGGTAGCTTGAAATTGGCCATAGTGGAAATATTTACACCACAGAAATTGGCAAACACTGCAAATGAAAGCTTTAAAGAAATTCATTTTATGGGAAACCATTTGACCAGTAAACCACTGAGAAAGATTTCAGAGAGAGACAGTTGGACGAAACCGATAGGCCCTGATGATTGGTTGGGGCGGGTCTGGGGTTGAAAAGTTCTTAAAGATGGTTCTGAAATTTTTTATCTGAGATTTTAACTCTGAGTGACTTGCAGGATGAAGATGTCACTCAGTGGAAACTAGGTTTTGGGGAAAAGATGATGTATGTGATTTGCTGCATGAATTTGGGGGTATGACATAATACGCATGTGGCTTGTCCAAAAAAAGAGATTGAAGCCTGTGTTTGATGCTCAGTCAGACCTGGAGTATAGACTTGAAATCAGCTGCCTCCCCTCCCCTCCCCTCTGCTCTCCTCCCCTCCCCTCTCCTCCCCTCCCCTCCTCTCCTCTCCCCTTCCCTGCCCTCCCCTCCTTCTTCTTCCCTCCCTTCCTTTTGTCTCGCTCTGTCACCCAGGCTGGAATGTAGTGGTACAATCATAGCTCACTGCAGCCTAGAACTTCCAGGCTCAAGCGATCTTCCTACCTCATCCTCTTAAGTAGGTGGGACTATAGGTGTGTACTACTATGCTTGGCTAATTTTTAAATTTTTTGTAGAGATCGGGGTTGGTGGGAGTGTCTTGCTATGTTGCTCAGGCTGGTTTCGAACTCCTGGCCTTAAGTGATCCTCCCACCTCAGCCTTCCAAAGTGTGGGATTATAGGTATGAGCCACCATGCTTGGCTGTGATGAACTTTCTTACATTTGCTTTTAAATGTTAAGCTAGAGCATCAAACAGGGATTCCAGGAAGGCACGATCTGGAATAGGTATTCAAGAACCCCAAATTACTATCCATAGTGTAGAGGAGAGGCCACGCAATTCCCACGCACTTCACTCCTCTCTCATCCTCCTATTGCCAGTGAATTCTCTCCCTCTCCTAAAGTTCAAAACCACCAGCCCCAACTTGGCAGCAACCCGGGAGACAGGGCAACAGCAGCCAGGGTGGCAGCAGCTGTAACCTCTTGCAAATCACCTCCTCTGAGTCTAAATTTCACAAACACATAGTTCAACAGTTGCTAAAAACACTCATTGCTTCTTGGCATCTAAAGAAGGCATTTCAGGACTCCTCAATTTTAATTAACTAGGCATTTCAGGACTCCTCAATTTTAATTAACTATCTCAAATATTAAAGAACATTGCTGAGTTTGCTGAAGCATTTTTACAGTTGTAGAAGAAAGCATCGGGTGTGAGGGGAAGACCTTCACAGAAACACATGCTATTCTGGATACGTGACCATTTATGAATATGTCCTGCTTCATTTAGTTATTGTCAGGTTCCCGACTACACCAATTATGTTCAGGGTCAGGTACCAGCCCATGCTGCAGTCTGGAGGGAGTGAGTGGATGAGCAGGAAGAACACCTGGGGGCCGTAGGCAGGTGAAAGATGGTTTTATTCAGCAGCAGCTCTCATCAACGCTTTCTCACACTGTCTGCCTGTCTCAGCTGCTTAGTCCAGCTCCCACATGCAGCTGTGCAGCTGGCTCTCCCTTGCCTTCAGGGTCAGCAGCTTAACTCTCTCTCTCTGGGCACAAGTGAGCCAAGCTGTGTCCTGGCTCTCCTCTGTCCATCTCCAAAGACGAACAGCTTTGACACTGTCTCTGGTGCCAGCATGCCTGCACAGTGTCAACAAGGCAATTATACCTTTTACAGACAATAGCGGCTTAGGGCCAAGGAATGGCCTTCCCATCTCATGGCTACATGGCTGTGATAACAAGTGGAGTTATACGCCTGTGCTGTAAACTCGCTGAGTCACTCAGGATGTTTACCTCAGCCTATCCTTGACCAAAGCACAGCCATGTTTCTTACGGTTATGAATTAACCTGAAAAGGGGAGACAATTGACTAACTTTGAGTAGGCATGTTTGAAAAGAGGTGGATTGCTAACGTGCAGTATTTTGTCCATAGGATCAAATATTTTAGGAAAATACTTCTTGTTTTCTGATATTAGTGCTAGGTTTTCCTTTGCATCAGGGCAAGGATATTTACCCCCAACATCAAAAAAGAATGGCCCTACCTTAATTACTTACTACTCACCATGGAGAAGTATAATTCTTTTGTGTACTATGAACATTTAATTAGTGGCCCTTTTTGGAATGCTCGGTTGGCACTCCTGTGTTACTTATCAACTTTTTCTGGCCTTGCCACTGCAGTTGCTCCTAATGCCTAACTCCTTAATGATGTGATCATCTTCCCAATCAGATGTGTTGGGAAGGGCAGCACATCTCAGATGGTAACTGAATGCAGTTCACCTGGGCATCTTGTCACCTGCAGATTTTCATTCAGTCGGTCAGGAGAGAGCCCATGGTTCCTCTTTTCTAACAAGCTCCTAGTTAATGCAGTTACTGCTGGTCACAGAGCCATGCTCTTGAGTAGCAAGGTATAGTGGAGGAATGACAGGCAGCGTTAAGAGGGAAGATTACCATTCAGAGAGCCACAAACCACCTGGGAAAATAATATACCAAGAAGAGGTGAGAAGTATGTATATGTGATGATGTATTTATTCATATTAATGTATATGTGTGAACATATGAACTATCTCTGCTTAAAAATGGCATTCTTCAATAGATGCTTTGCAAAAAACATTTAAAAAGGAGGTATGGCCGGGCACTGTGGCTCATGCCTGTAATCCCAGCACTTTGGGAGGCTGAGGCGGGTGTAAGAATTAAAGAAAGAGGAGAGAAACGTGAAGGGTGGCTTGCCAGTTCACAAGGACAGGTTTATTTTAGGAAACAAATCTGAGAGGGACTTCTGGCCGAGTTAGGTCAGAGCCACACTCTCTTATACACTAAAAGTTGTTAAGGATTTAGGGTATGAGAGTTTATCAGAGGCTTGGACTGCTTCTGTGACTCTTTGTTGTGCTTATCTGAGAGGGAGAGTTGTGTGTCTGTTCCCATGCATCTTTTTGCAGCTGCAGGCATACCCCCGAGTCTGCTTTTAGCTTCCCTATTTTAGCGCACCTGAAGGGAAAGGAATGTGCTTATTAAGGCCCACTGTTTTACTGGGGCCCATTGCATGAGGGTGAAGATTGGCAGTTACCCAAGGAACTTTTCCCCCACCTCCCTTTATGCCTGAGCTGTCTTATCTGTGTTTTACTCTCTGCTATTTCTGGCTGCTTATAGTTAGAAGAGAAGTGATTTCCTTGAAATGCATGAGGCTAGAAAGGGAGCTGGAACTTAAAGTGGTGGTGTTTGTCTGAGATGACGGTGCTGCTGCTGTCAGTGGGCAGATCACTTGAGGTCAGGAGTTTGAGACCAGCCTGGCCAACATGGTGAAACCCCATCTCTACTAAAAATACAAAAATTAGCCGGGTGTGATGGCGCGTACCTGTAATCAGCTACTTGGGAGGCTGAGGCAGGAGAATTGCTTGAACATGGGAGACGGAGGTTGTGGTGAGGCGAGATCGTGCCACTGCACTCCAGCCTGGGTGACAGAGCGAGACTCTGTCTCAAAAAAAAAAAAAAAAAAAAGGAGGTATGAAGCTATTTAGGATGTTTTATAGATAATCTTAAATATTTGGTGTGCTGTTGCTTAAAATGAGTGAATATATATAAAATGCCTAGTGCTGCGATGGGTTTAAGTACAATGTGTTACTTATATTTATTATTATAGTTTTATGCTGCTTCTAGGATTCAAAGGTCGAGGAATTAGAATAGAAAGGTGTTCCTTGGAGAAATAAATTGTTCACAATTGGAAAAGGACAGGCACGGAGATAGTCACCAGGAAGTGGAACAAATCAAGAACCACCCATGTCTTTTACCACACAATAGCCATACCAGCTGGAGGAAGGACTGTAAGTACCATCTTTCCAGAAGTGCGCAGGTTATGGAATAGCTGCAGCATGAGAGGCTGTCACTGCTTCTCGCCTCAGTCACATTTGCAGCCTGAGACTCTCCTGACCACTGGAAAAACAAAACAAAACAAAAGGAACACAGGAAAAAAAGTTAAATTTCCCTTTTAAAAATAGAAAAAGTAAAACCAGCATTAGGTTTAGCAATTATCAGCAGTAACTGAATTTTAGGGAGAAAGGCAGTGAATTATAGCAATATGAAAAAGCACTCTTCATCCAAAATCAGATTTGTTAATTCTAATTTTTTATAAAGAAAGAAAGCAGTTATTTTTACAAAACAGTATAATTGAGATTGTGTATTACAAACTAAATTTTTATACCACGATTTTATTGTTCTCTCATCCTGTTTGAGTTGTAAAGTCTTGTTTTTCAGTGGAGTTTATAGTCTTTAATTAAAGCTGGTGGAACTTACTTTATAAATGTAAATGTTTATCAGTTGCTGGGGAAAGCTTACTAGGATTCAGCAAAACCATTAATATACAAAGCACTACCATCCACCTAGTGGTAAAAATCCAAATTGCAAGCATTGCGTCTAAGTTGAGAGGCTCCAAACCGCGTTTGAGGAGTCCGCCAGATTTCAGCCTACCTAACCACAGGGGCCACGTGTGGTCATCTGCGGCTCTCATTCCTTTTGGGGGGTTCAGTGCACCCAGAGACACATGGGCTGCTCATGCACTGCTTTTGAGGCTGGAGTTAATGCACTCCTGAAAAAGCACACTCTTCACTCTCTTCTTAATTCCTTAATACATGTTAGACCTCTCTGTATGTGGGAGAAAAATAGCTAATACTCTAATTATTATAACTATATTCAAAATTATGTAGTAAATACTTTCTCAAGTTTGTGAATAGAATGGAAGAAATGAAATAAGTATTTAAAAGGTCTGTTACTACTGATAAGAGCTTATCTAAATTGAAGTGACAAAGACCATAGTAAAAATGATGACTAGGAGGAGGCTCAGAGAATGTTCTACACTGTTTAAATTCTTATTGCTTTCCCTTGAGAGGCAGTGTAATATAATGGAAAAGCACTGGCAATGAACAAACTTGGTTGTGGGGCTTTGGGAAGCCCTCTGAGCCTCAGTTTCTTTACTTTTAAAATGGGGCGATAACTTGGAACACATACTATCATGAGATTAAATAATATACGAAAAGTAATTAATACCATGTGATCACAGAGCCTGGTTTACGGAGTAGAGGCAAAAGTCATAAGTTTTTCCTTAGTTTCTGTATATTTGTGAGGCGTTCAGCACCTCCAGCAACACAGTATCCTCCAACACCACCTGGGCTCATGAGCTCAGCATTGAGTCAGAGGAAAGGAGGTCTCTTTCTGATTCATGGTTCCACTTCCTGAGGTTCCTTAGTCATCTGAACTGGTCCAGACGAGGCTGCCCCTACTGAGAAATGTTCATGTTCTGTTTTGAGTCAGGTTACATTATTTACTGATAGTCTTGCCTGGATGTAAATGGTGTTTGTGTATTGGTTCACGATGTGGCCAAGGTAACACATACGTTCTTCCGAAGCTGGCTTTCATTTTTTTGGAGAAAGTTATGAATAGCCGCAGAGAACTGGAAACTGTCTTTCAGCTTGGTGGAACAGCGGAAGTCGGCAATAGGTGGAGTGGAAGCTGACTAACTTGCAGGGTAACCTCTGGGGAGGGTTACATAACCTCTGGGTTTGCCACCTGTACTGCGAAAGCCATGAACTGAGGGTTGCTCCCCTGCTCCTGGTGAGGGGTAACTGAAAGAGTGGTTTCCACCCACTCTTATGAAACATTAGCATTTCAATCACAGTGATTGCCACATTTATGGCTGTTAGCACTATATGACTATGGTGGTAAATAATTTGATTTATGTGAATTTAGCTTTATGATTTGAATGAAAAGAATACAGACTCACAAGAGTTAGAATTACTGGTTTCTTCTTTTTTTTTTAAAGGTACACAATACTGTCCCTCTACTTATTAAATAATACATGCTTAAGGCAGAATATTTGATATACAGATGCTCTTCAAGTTACAACAAGGTTACGTCCCAATAAGCCCATCATAAGTTGAAAATATTGTAAATCAAAAATACATTTAACACACCTCACCTACTGAGCATCATAGCTTAGCCTGGAACACTTACATTAAATATGCCCAGAACACTTACATTAGCCTACAGTTGGGCAAAATCATCTAACACAAAGCCTATTTTATAATAAAGTGTGGAATATCTCATGTAATTTATTAAATTCTGTACCAGAAGCAGGAGACATAGATGGCCATTTTGTGGACAAGATGGCATGTGAAAACACAAAACATGGTATCCAAAAAATGCTGGCAACACAGTGCCCTGCAGAGACTCAGTTTTTGATCTTCGTGGTCGTGTGGCTGACTGGGAGCTGTGGCTCACTGCGCCTGCCCAGCATCGTGAGAGAGTGTGGTACCACATATCACTAAACTTGGAAAAGATCAAAATACAGCACTTGAAATAGGGTTTCTACTGAATGTGTATGGCTTTCATACCATTGTAAAGATGAAAAATCATAAGTCGAACCATCCTAAGTTGGGGACTGTCTGTACATGGCATAATGAAAACAGTCACTCACAATCAGGCTATACATCCTAGTGCTCCTAGGACAGTCTCAGTCCAAGTAGTGCCCCCTTTCGCTCTCAAGAGTGTCCCAGTTTGAAGGATAGTTTATGTAGTCACTCTGCTACCATAGTGTCCCTAGACTGCCTCACAGAGGTAACTGCTATGCACGTGTTGGCCAATGGTTATAAAATCCATTTTCCAACAATAAGGTCATAGCAGAGTGAGGAAGCTCCTACACTGGGGAGCCCCATAAACCAGGTTCTGGAGTTTGACTGGGTCACTTACTAGCTCTGTGACTTTAAGCAAATGATTTTCTTAAAAAGATGCAATTATTTCCTTGTCACATCTTGTCAAATGCATCAAAATAATATATGCTTATGATAAATTCTAACAGTATAAAAAGGTACAAGCTGCTGCCCGCTGCACCCCTCCCCTACTTCCCAGAAGTAATCATCTTCTATTAGGCTAGTTATTTTACCTCTTTGCTCCTCCTTCTCTCAACTGAAAGATGGGGATTATAACACTCCTCGCATAGCCTCATCTATACTCACCTTATGTGCCCGGCACAGGTCCTGAGGTATAGTCAATGCTAAAAAAATGCTTATTAAATTAAGATTACTGGCATGTTCTTTAGTAGCCTGCTTCTTTTCACTTAGCAAGTATACAGAATGGTTTCTTAACCTCATTTGTAATAAACAAAAATCCCCCAGTAAATATGGAAATGTGAATTTTCTGAGGGGCCTCTATTCAAATGTTCTTAAGCAAATATTACCAGGTTCAATAAGCATAGAAATGGAACCATCATCCCCCTGCTAGAAGCTGGTCCTTCCAGGTGGGGCTTGGGGCAGTCTGGGTGTGTGGGAGGCAGTGGGGTGGAACATTTGCACTGCTGTTTGTGGTGTACCTGTTCAGTCATAAACAGAGGGCTTTAGTTTCCATCTGGCTCCCTGCACTGGCACTAAAGTAACATTGAAAAGAAAAAGAGAGTAATGAAAAAGACATCTAAACTGCTGCTGGGTAGGGTCAAAAAAAAAAAAAAAATGTGGTCCAACGACCCCAGGTTCTAATGTGGTCAGAATGAGGCAGGAGACGACGATTTCTGAAATACAAGAAGCCAAGGAGATGTATTTTGACCATGAAGAAGATTAGTTCTTGTCAATTCTCGGTATGATGAGTGCTACTCACTCTGTAGTCAAAACAACCCGCTGAAACGGAGGATTGCTGACAAGAACGTCCTCCCTTTCCTGTCGCTTTATTTAGTTCCAGTCAGTTCCAGCTTGTTTTGTCACAGTCAGAGGCGAGGAAGATGCCTCAGTTATCCTCAATATCGTGGAAACTTTGGTTCACAGAATTCACTCTTTTTAGGTTCTTCCAGCCCTCTGTCTCTGCCGTCCCGGTCTCCACCCTGGCTGTTGTACTGGGCTTGAAAACTCTTTCCTAAGTTGGGGATCCAGGAGTTGAGCTATGGTCACTCGAAGGCCCATCTCAGTTTTCACTGAATCCTATGCCTTTTTAGGCTCTTTGAAGTGGATTAAAATCCACTCCCCGCCTTACTCCCAGGTGGGAGCATGCAAAACAATAACCTCTAGCATTTCCCCCAGTTACAGAGCTGTTCTGGCACCAAACATGTATCAAAAGGAGATCACTCAAAAGACATTCTTGGCATGCTGTGAAAAGCAAAAGATTTACCTCCCTGACCACTAATAGGTTATAGGTTTGTGTTCCTTTCTCCAGGGATGACACCTTGACTCTTGAAAACATTTTCTGTATATCATATATAGTGTGACATGCGGCAAACAAGTCTTAATTATCACACTCCAGGTCTGTTATTAAAAATCATCTTAAGATAATAAATATATGTACTTTTAACCACATAGACATTTGTTGTTTTTAACCATATTAATGCCACACTTTAACATTTTTCCGTATTAGTTATCTGTATTTGTTATCTATTTCTATGTAACAAATTACCCCAAAACTTATCAGTTTAATAAACAGATATTTATTATTCATATACTTTCTGAGGGTCAGGAATCCAGGCGCAACTTCACTGGGTGATTTTGGCTCTGTTGCTTGTGTGGGTTCAGTCAAGATGTAGGCTGGGGCTGCCGTCGTCTGAAAACTTGGCTGGGCTGGTGAGTCCACCCCTGAGCTCATGCACGTGGCTGTTGGCTGGGGGCTTCAGTTTTCCACCCTGTGGGCCTTTTCATAGAGCTGCTCATGACATGGCAGTTGGCTTCCTCCAGAATGAGTGACCCAAGAGTGAGGACAAGACAGAAGCCACAGTGATAGAACACGACTTCCACTCTATTCTTTTGGTCACGTAGACCAATTCTGGTACAAGATAGAAGAAGACTATCTGAGGGTGTAAATTATAGGTGCCACCTTGGAGGTTGGTGATCACAGTCCATCTTTTGGGTTCTTATGATTTATATCCCTTCCATAGGCAAAATACTCTTAACTCCTCATAAGTTCCCCAAAAGTCTCATCCCATTAGAGCATAAACCTGAGGTCTAGATTATTGTCATATATTCAGGCCTGGGTGCAGATGAGGCTTGTCAGGTGTAATTCCATATGGACAGTTCCTTGAGTACCATTTCTTTCTATCCATACACCTGTGGGCTGCAAAGACAAGTTATTTGTCCCCCACACTCAACATACAGGCTTAGCTAGACATTGGATAACCACTATTGATATTCCTGCCCAAAGATGGGCAGAGTGGGAAGCACACAACGATCACTAGCAGGTCTGAAATCCAGTTGGGCAAACTCAGAAGCTCCTTGATTGGGTCTCAGTCACACTCCTGAGTAGCAGTTATTCTATTCACTCCTGGCTCTGCTTTCTGGACTCTTGATTCTCTCTGAGTCATCCTTTTTTCAAGAAAACATCATGTGTTTGTGGCTGAGTAGTTTTCTCAACCTGTTTCTTATCTATATACATTTTGGGGTTCAACAGCCTCTTTTCATTTTGTCCTTTTCTCTGTGCCTCTCAAAGCTGGGGGTGTTTCTGCTGATATCAATATCTTTTTTTTTTTTGAGACTGAGTCTTGCTCTGTCGCCAGGCTGGAGTGCAATGGCATGATCTCAGCTCACTGCAACCTCTGCCTCCCGGGTTCAAGTGATTCTCCTGCCTCAGCCTGCTGAGTAGCTGGGACTACAGGCGCATGCCACCATGCCCAACTAATCTTTGTATTTTTACTAGAGATGGGGTTTCATCATGTTGGCCAGGATGGTCTCAATCTCTTGACCTCGTGATCCGCTCGCCTCAGCTTCCCAAAGTGCTGGGATTACAGATGTAAGCCACCATGGCTGGCCTTTTTTTTTTTGAGCCAGTGTCTTGCTATGTCATCCAGGCTGGAGTGCATTGGTGTGATCATGGCTTACTGCAGCCTTGACCTTGACCTCTGGGTTTAAGTGATAGTCACACCTCAGCCTCTCAAGTAGTTGGGACTATAGACACAGGCCACCATGCCTGGCTAGTTTTTTTTTTTTTTTTTTTTTTTTTTTTTTTTTTGTATTTTTGGTAGAGACAGGGTTTTGCCATGTTGCCCAGGCTGGTCTTGAACTCCTGGGCTCAAGTGATCCACCTACCTCAGCCTCCCAAAGTGCTGGAATTGTAGGCATGAGCCACCACACCTGGCCTGATATCATTCTTTTAAAAATTTCATAAGTCTTCTGTGAATCCTACTGGAGTTTACTCCAGTAGATAAAAAGGCATAGATCTCTTCAAGAGAAGCCTTTTTTCTTTTTAATTTAAAAACTATAAATTTCTTTGGATGGACAATGTCCTCCACTTCTTAAAAGTTCTATTGTTTAAATGAATAAATCTGTGACTCAAACCCTTTAAATCTTTAGTGGGTCTTTGGTGTGAAGCATAATGTCTTCCTTGCAGTGTCCCAGTTTGATTTTTGCTTGCAAGCTCTTTCTAAAATTTATCAGCATTTGTCATCTGAAAGGGCTGAGAATTTTCAAAGCCATTGTATTTAGTGGTTTTAATGGTTTTCAGCTTGTTCAATTTAACAGTCTTTTATATATCAGTCTTTATGTTTGTTTGTTTGTTTGTTTTGAGACAGTCTTGCTCTGTTGCCCAGGCTGGAGTGTAGTGGCACAATCTCAGCTCACTGCAACCTCCGCCTCCTGGGTTCAAGTGATTCTCCTGCCTCAGCCTCCCGAGTAGCTGAGATTACAGGCACCCGCCACCATGCCTGGCTAATTTTTATATTTTTAGTAGAGATGGGGTTTCGTCATGTTGGCCGAGTAGCTGAGATTACAGGCACCCGCCACCATGCCTGGCTAATTTTTATATTTTTAGTAGAGATGGCGTTTCATCATGTTGGCCAAGCTGGTCTCGAACTCCTGACCTCAAGTGATCTGCCTTCCTCAGCCACCCAAAATGCTGGGATTACAGGCATGAGCCACTGCGCCAGGCCTTATATATCAATCTTATCTCTTACAAGCAGTAAGAAGAAACCAGGTGGCACTTTACCACTCTGGCTGGAATTGTCCTCAGCCAGATCACCCAGTTTGCTGGGTAAACTTTCTGCTCTCCACATAACTGCAGGTGACAGTGTTGCTAAACTTTTCTTCCACTTAATAATCAGGATCCCCTTTCTTCCAGTTTCCAATAAGATTTTCCTCAATTTCCTTTAAATCCTCTCCAACAGCCAAAGTCCAGAATTATATAAGAAGTGCATTCAAATGCATTTAATATTTCACTAATACTCTTAAAATCATTACAGCTTGTCTAGTTTCTGCTCAGTGCTCAGTTCTAAAGCTATTCCCACATTTTAGGTTTTTGTTATGGTATGCCACTTACAAGAACCAAAATCTTTACAATTCCTCCAGATGAACATCTTTATTACCAATTTATTCCCAATTCCACATAGGGAAATGGAGGTGCAGAGGGCTTGTGACTCAGGGTCACACAGTCACTATGTGGAAGAATGATGACTCAAGTCTGAGAATGCTGGACTCAAAGGGCCTCTTCTTTTCAGGATACCTACCATACTGTCTCTGGAGGGGTAAAGGCAAATGGAATCTATTCACAGTTTGGAATTGCTGAAGTCTTGGCAGGAACATTCAATCAACGCAATTCTAGATGACACCATTTACGTTGTATTCTATTGCTTTGTATTGTCCGGTGCAGAGGTCCTGAGTCTTTAGATGCCCCCATTTTATAAATAAAGAAATTGAGATTTCTCAGGATCACACAGCTAGGAAGTGTTAGAGTCAGGGTTTAAACAAGTTCCAACTGACTCCAAAATACTTTATCTTCCAAGTGTTCAGGCACACATAGCACATCTTATTCATTGACATTTGGATGGATGTAAAAGGCATTATGTTTACTGAGGAGGGAGAGAATGGGGCAAACTTATGGCCTTAAATTCTCTGTACTCAGGGTTCCTCGTGTATAAAAGAGAAAAGGCAGGTTTCTCACAGGGCTGTTGTCATGATTGAATGAGGCAATGCATGTAAAGTTTAGCAGTGCCTGACCTCTGATAAGCTTCCTATAAACGTCCTCACATAGTCAGTGCGTAGGAGATTTGCATTCTAGCTCTAGTGCTGGCTGGTTACCTGAATTATTCAAGGCTCTGCTTCAGATCTGCATCAAAACAAAGATGAAAATTATCCATCCTGGATGTCACTAAGATCTGATGAGAAAAAATGAAACGGGTTCCATGACAAGCATTGAGTTCCTCAGCAGAAAGTTGTTCCAGAAGTCTGGCGCTTCTATATCACCATCTCAGAGGGTATGAAAGAGCCTCATTCTGAGTCTGTAATGCCCCTTTGGCTCCAGCCAGGAGCCCACGCTTCATTAAAAACTGTGAGCTGTGCCAATCTGTCTGGGGCTTTATGGGGTACATGAAAGGGGGCCTCAGAAGAGACTATCGGCTCCACCCTGGCTCAGGCTGCTGTTTGCCCCCAGACTCATGTGGTGATGAGATGAGAGCACCCGCTCACCCACTTCGCTTTAGGCTGGGCTGCTCTCAAGGGCCAGGGCATTGATCTTGCCCCCAAGGCTTGGAATGTGGTTCCAGCCTTATCCCCAGGCCTCTTGAGGCTCCACAGTTGGCCTCACACTTTCACAGGTTTATTCTTGGTGGCAACGGGTCTCACAAGGTAGGAAAGTATGAATTTGGAGCTTTGTGGTCATTTTTATGTAACAATGTTTTAATACATAAGATGTTAGAGTCAAGCTTTCTATGCTTTCCAAACGGTGTCTGTATTTTGATTTTTAATGTGCTCCTGAACAAGGCTGTCTGCCAGCACAGGCCAAATCTGGTTAAGAAGGGCTCCTGTACCTGGAAGGGGTCCCTGGAGAAAGCACTTCAAGTCGTTTATCCAGCGCTGGCTGCTTTCGTTCTTGGCTTGGAGACTGTCAGCTTTCCACCAGACCTGCCGCATAGTAGAGCACATCCTCTTGGAGAGGGCGAGAGAGCCAAGGAGGGAGCAGGTTGAAGGAATGATGGCTATAAAGCAGATGTTATTAGTGGGCATTGGGTGAGGTTGGGAGGCTGAGTACAGTAGCTTTATTTCAGCCTCCAAGGTGGGCCACAAGACTGTGGTCTAGAAGGAAAGCTGTTCCCATTTGGCCGAGCCTGGCATCCTGAGAATCCCCAGGCGAAGAAACACTTCTGCCTGGTGTGTAAATTCAGAGCTTGGGTCTGGAAGGAGTGATGTTGATGAAATGCAACATTTGGGGCGCAGCCTTGAAAGCTGTCAAAATGACACCAGTGGAGACCTAGGAGCAGGGAGTTTAAATGTCTCACGACCACCCAGTTTTCATTTTGATTTGATTATTCTTAAAGTAAAAAAAAAGTTTTTTAAAAGATTTCGAAAAAAAAGATGAGAGATAATCAGAAGGGCAGCAGGGTGCAAATTGGGTTGCCATCATGAAGTGGCTTAACTGTGTGAGTCATACATGTTGCTAGGTCTGGTGACGAGAATCTCCTATCCTAATTTAGCTTAGGGTATATGCCCCACATTTGATATATGGAAGGTCAGGCCACCTTCCTGTCACTTTGATTTCTTCACTCTGAAAGGTGGCCTGGGTCTGTTCTGTGTCCTTCCGCCTGCCGCCCTCTTGGTGTCTATAGAATCTCTCTTGGCATAGGGCGAAGGAGCCGGACTACCCACTGAATAGCTAAACACTTACCTAGCATTTCTGTTTGGATTTCTTAATTTTTTTCGCTCAGAGAATTGACATAAAAATAATTTTTTGACTCTGAATTTCATCTGGCTTTAGGTAAGATTACACCATTTCACTGGGGCGGCAAGAGGGGTCTGTAGTAGCTCTCAGTACTTTCTGACCAACCTCTTGGGTTAAAGCCTTCCCTGATACTTCACCTTGCCCTGGTCTCCCTCCCATTCTTCTTCCTCGAGTTCCTTAGGAAAGTCCTAGGAAAGTGCTCTGCTGATTATTGCTAGAATTGGAATCAGACAATGACAGGGAATGAAATATGCCAAGACCATACTTAACCTTGCTGAGTTCTGTTTGAGCATTTCAAACTCACATTCTATGACTGTATGTGTGTATCATGAACAACAGAATGAGGATCCTTAGGGAGATTTACGCATAGTGCTGCATAGAATACACCATAGTTGGAAATGTTGTACCCCATGGATTTGTCTGTTGTGCAAAAATTACCTTTTCAAAAATTATATTTATAATTTTGGGGTCACCCTTCTTGACCTTATGGAAATCAGGACCAGTTCTTGAGGCTCCTTTTTATCTTTAAGGCTGGTATACAGAAGTGCTGTCTGTGTTGTGGTATCAGTCATTAGGCCGTCCTGGATATTTAATCTGGAGAGAGCTAAAACGGAGTATTTCCCACTTTCCTTACCTCCTCAAGAAGTCCACTGCCATTGGATGCCAAAGCCCAAATGTATAAAACAGAAAGCACTGACACAGCCTGGAAGCTTTGGGCACATCCATGAGAAGCATTTTTAACCTCCCAGACTTGAAATGTGTAGTGCCAAACCATTAATTCACTGCTCTGCACATTCATTCACAGTGTTCTAATTTGGCTTCTCTTTTTTGTGGTGATTAGTGAAGCAGTCTCATTAACTTCACGGTTGTGTTGGTTCAAAGTAAGGAGTGGGCAGTTGACCTTCGAAATAGAAATAGAGTGGAGATTAACCTGGTATAAATGGGGTTGAGGTTTAATGTAGAGAGAAGCATTGAACTAAGAAGGAGATAAAGCTGGGCTCAGGGAAATATCTGAAACCTGGGAGGGATGCTCTCTGACCTCTTCACCCCACCTTTCTGCACTCTTTCTCTCCCACTGTGTGCAGGGCTGGGCTCCTCCCCAGTGTTCTCATGCTTCCTGTCCTGCCTTCCTCCGAAACCAAGTCCGCAATAAGATAACAATGACTGGAATATGCCTTCCTTCCCAGGGAGTCCATAGGTGTAAAGAGTATTAAGGACGGAGGACAATGCTTAACTCCAAAAGCAAATGCCTAATGATGAACCTGGATTCCTGTAACATTTAATTGCAATAGGTGCGTTGAAGGGCAGACTTTATAGTGACCCCTACAATCAACTGGGGAATTGTACCCCAGATAGTGTCACATATTCTATTTTTCAGTGTGACATAAAGGTAGACAATAGGTTGACAGTTCCCACTATTTAACCCATTAGAAATTGAAAAGCAGAGAGGTTAGAGAGACTAAGAGGAGACACTAGAAACCATCACTGCTTTTTCTTTTAAACTTTTATTTTAGGCTCAGGGGTACATGTGAAAGTTTGTTACATGGGTAAACATGTGTCACAGGGGCTTGTTGTATAGATAATTTTATCACCCAGCTATTAAGCCCATAGTTATCTTTTCTGCTCCTCTCCCTCCTCCCGCTCTTCACCCTCAATAGACCCCAGTGTCTGTTGTCTTCTTCTTTGCATCATTGCTTTTTTTTTTTGAGACAAAGTTTCGCTCTTGTCGCCAAGGCATGAGTGCAATGGCGTGATCTTGTCTTACTGCAATCTCTGCCTCCCGGGTTCAAGTGATTCTCCTGCCTCAGCCTCCTGAGTAGCTGGGATTACAGGCATCTGCCACTGTGCCCTGCTAATTTTTGTATCTTTAGTAGAGACAGGGTTTCACCATGTTAGTCAGGCTGGTCTCGAACTCCTGACCTCAGGTGATCCGCCCTCTTGGGCCTCCCAAAGTGCTGGGATTACAGGCGTGAGCCACTGCAACCGGACTGCATCATTGTTTTAAAAGCTAATTTCTTTCTATTGTGTAGCCTCGATGCATAGGAAGGAGATCTCTTAGACTCTCATAAATGAAGGTTTTAAGTACTGTGTTGGCAACTTAGTATTAAGTAATCACTGGCAAAACCACCTCTCTACACTGCCACTGTGGGTACATAAATTGTGAATTATTGCCTTCCCTAAGGAATTATGATCAGGCAATAACCATACATTTATTTCTGTATATTTAATCTGTATATTCTGAGAATATCTGATTATATTGGATATTATACAGTTTGTATCTGTACAAACTGACATTTATAAATTAGCTTTTGAAAAGTTATTGTATTAGGGATAAAGATGAATTGTTCAAACATATATATATTTAAATGTACTGAAAGCCGGTATACAGAACTCTTTCGGATTTTCTTTCTACTAGGGATTGCGTTATCAATTTTCACTATTCCAGTAATCTGCATACTGTACTATTTTTAAGTATCAAATAATCACATATTACTTGATGATATGGTAATGTTATTTTTTATTGTAAAAAGGTGAAGTCCTGGGCGGGCACAGTGGCTCACGCCTCTAATCCCAGCATTTTGGGAGGCCAAGGCGGGCGGATCTCCTGAGGTCAGGAATTTGAGACCAGACTGACCAACATAGTGAAACCCCGTCTCTACTAAAAGTAAAAATTTAGCCAGGCATGGTGGCAGGCATCTGTAATCCCAGCTACTCAGGAGGCTGAGGTGGGAGAATCGCTGGAACCTGGGAGGTGGATGGTGCAGTGAGCCGAGGTTGTGCCATTACACTCCAGCCTGGGTGGCAAAGCAAGACACTATCTCAAACAAAAATAAAAAAAAAATAAAAAAAAATTAAAAAATAAAAAATAAAAAAAAGAAGTCCCACTCAGTTACAGACGTACCTCATTTTATTGTGCTTCACTTTGTTTCACAGATATTGTGTTTTTTTTTTTTTCAAATTGAACATCTGTGGCAACCCTGAGTTGAGCAAGTCTGTTGGCACCATTTTTCCAACAGCATGTGCTCACTTTGTGTCTCTGTGTCACATATTGGTAACTCTTGCAATATTTCAGATTTTTCATTAGTATTTTATCTGTTATGGTGATCTGTGATCAGTGATCTTTGATGTTACTATTATAAATGTTTTGGGGAGTTGTCAACCATGTCCATAAAGATGGCAAACTTAATTCCCAAATGTTATATTCTCTGACTGCTCCACTGGACTGGGTGTTCCTTCCTCTCTCTCCCTCTCCGTGGGCCTCCCTATTCCTTGAGATACAACGATACTGAAATTAGGACAATTAATAACCCTATAGGGCCTCTAAGTGTTCAAGTGAAGGAAAGAGTCACATGTCTCTCATTTTAAATCAAAAGCTAGACATGATGAAGCTTAGTGAGGAAGGCATGCTGAAGCCAAGACAGGCCAAAAGCTAGGCCCTTTGTGCCAAACGGTTAGCCAAGTTGTGACTACAGAGGAAAAGCTCTTGAAGGAAATTAAAAGTTCTACTTCAGTGAACACATGAATGATAAGAAAGCAAAACAACCTTATTGCTGGTATGGAGAAAAGTTTTAGTGGTCTGGATAGAAGATCAAACTGGTCTCAACATTCCCTTAAGCCAAAGCCTAATCTAGAAGAAGGCCCCAACTTTCTTCAATTCTGTGAAGGCTGAGAGAGGTGAGAAAGATGCAGAAGAAAAATTCAGAGCTAGCAGAGGTTAGTTTATCAGTTTTAAGGAAAGAAGCTCTCTCCACAACATAAAAGTGCAAAGTGAAGCAGCAAGTGCTGATGTAGAAGCTGCAGCAAGTTATCCAGAAGATCTAGCTGAGATCATTGATGAAGGTGGCTACACCAAACAAAACAGATTTTCAATGTACATGAAACATCTCTGTATTAGAAGATGATTCCATTTAAGACTTGCATAGCCACAAAGGAGAGACCAATGCTTGGCTTCAGAGGCTCAAAGGACAGGCTGACTTTCTTGTTAGGGGCAAATGCAGCTGGGTGACTTTAAATTGAAGGCAATGCTCATTCACCATTTCAAAAATCTTAGGGGCCTTAAGAATGTTGCTAAATCTACTCTGCCTGTACTCTATAAATAGACAAGCAAAGCCTGAATGACAGCACATCTATTTACAGCATCGTTTACTGAATATTTTAAGCCCACTGTTGAGACCTACTACTCAGCAAAAAAGATTTCTTTCAAAATATTGCAGCTCATTGACCATGCATTTGATCATCCAAGAGTTCTGATGATGTACAAGGAGATATACAATGAGTTAATGTTGTCTTTGTGTCTGCAAACACAACGTCCATTCTGTAATTCATCAATCAAGGAGCAACTTTGACTTTCAAGTCTTATTATTTAAGAAATACATTTTGTAAGGTTATAGCTGCCATAGATAGTGATTCCTCTGAAGAATCTGGAAAAGTAAATGGAAAACCTTCTGGAAAGGACTCACCATGCTAGATGCTATTAAGAACATTTATAATTCTTGGGAGGAGGTCAAAATATCAACATTAACAGGAGTTTTGAAGAAGGCGATTCCAACCCTCATGGATAACTTTGAGGGGTTCAAGACTTCAGAGGAGGAAGTAATTAGAGATGTGGTGGAAATAGCAAGAGAACTAAAATTAGCAATGGAACCTGAAGATGTGATTCAATTGCTGCAATCTTATGAGGAAAACTTGATTATGACTTGCTGAAGGCTCAGATGATAGCATTTTTTAGTAATAAATTATTTTTAAGTTAAGATACATACTTTTTTTTAGACATAATGCTATCGCACACTTATCGCACTTGAATTTGAAAATTATTTCATGTATAACCCACTACAGTATGGTGTAAACAAACTTTTATACACACTGGGAAACCAAACAATTTGTATGACTCGCTTTATTGTGATGGTCTGGAACCAAACCTGCGATATTGTTGAGGTATGCCTGTATACCTTAAGATGAAGACCAATGACTCAATTAAAAAATCAAAAGAAAAGACAACCTGATGAACAGTCTACAAGTCTAGACAGTCGAAGTGTTTTAAATCTAGTGGAATATGGACATGAGTATTGAACTTTAAACATGATAAAGATGAAATAAACTATAGATGCATTCTTTGAAACAAAAATTACAGGTTGCTCTCAGTAAAAGATACAGCTTTTGCAAAAAAAAGATGTTCAAAAAGATCTTAAAATTATTAAATAAGAGATGGTATTATTTGAAGACGTAAGAACCAAAAGAAAATGTTTGCAGTTGGATCATAATTATCTCTCCATTAGTCCCCAGACTGTCACAGTCATAAAATTTTTTTCCAGTGGCTGGATTATTTGTATGAAAATTTATGTATGATTTAAAGATGACACACTTTGCTTTTTTTTTTTTAAAAGACAGCACTCAAAAAAATTAATGTTAATTCCTTATTGACTTTTTACTATTCATTACATGTTTTCATTTTCATGTTAGTGACTTTGTTTTTAAACATAAATTTATTTTTATGAATATGATTTGCTAGTGCTTAATTTCAGAATGACAATGTGTAATGTTTACTTTTATATAAATTTTACTGGAAATTAGTTTATCAATGTTGTATTTTAATGTAGACATTCTTAGTTTCACTGACACTTTTAATGAAATAATTTAAATTTAAAACTCTAGTGTTGGCTAGGCATGGTGGCCACACCTGTAATCCTAGCACTTTGGGAGGCTGAGGCGGGAGGATTGCTTGAGCCTAGGAGTTCAAGACCAGTCTGGGAAAGATGGCAAAACCCTGTCTCTATAAAAAATACAAAAATTAGCTGGGTGTGGTGGCACATGCCTGTGGTCCCAGCTACTCAGGAGGCTGAGGTTGGAGGATTGCTTGGGCCTAGGAAGTCGAGGCTGCCATGAGCCGTGATCATGCTACTGCACCCCAGCCTGGGCAACAGAGTAAGACTCTGTCTCAAAAAACAAGCAGACAAACAAAAACTGAAAAACAAACCCTAGTATTACATAAAATAAATACAAATATGGTATAGCCATTTTGTCCTCGTAATACAATCAATCAAGTTTCTGCTTATCTTAGAAATATGATAATTTTAATGTTTAAAAGGGCTTGAATTTGAAAATTATTTCAGGTATAACCCACTACACAAATACTGTAAATTTAAAACGTTTAAAAAGGAGTCAATCTTTCAATACAATTTGTTCAAAGAATCTTTATCATCACAATATTACAGATAAGGAAACCAAGAGCTCTGGGACACAGCTATGATTCTAACAATCTACAGTTGCTGTTGCATAAAAATTCATCAAGGTAACTCTGGTGACTTGAAAAAGTTAATTTAGATTAAAATTTTTTTTTTTTTAGAGACAGGGACAGGTTCTCATTCTGTCACCCAGGCTGGAGAGCAATGGTTCAATCAATGCTCACTGCAGCCTCCAACTCCTGGTCTCAAGCAATCCTCCCACCTCAGCCTCCTGAGTACTTGGGACTACAGGCGTGTGCCATCATGCGTGTAATGTTTTTCATTTTTTTGTAGATAGAGTCTTGCTTTTTTGCCTAGGTTGGTCTCAAACTTCTGGCCTTAAGCAATCCACTCACCTCGGCCCTCCAAAGTGCTGGGATTACAGGCATGAACCACTGTGTAGGCCTAAATTTTTATCAAAGTATTATTTACAAGTAGCTAAAAAAGTTAGACAATGTTACATGGCTTATTACAGAAAACAGTGATTGCTTGTCTTCCGTTTTTACTTCTGTCCCCATCCCCAGAAGCAACAATTTTGAACTCTTTGATATGTATCTTTCGGCATTAGCCCTGAATTTCTTTCTTTTTTTTTAGTTTCTTTCTTTTTTTTTTTTTTTTTGAGACAGAGTTTCATTCTTGTTGCCCAGGCTGGAGTGCAGTGGTGTAATCTTGGCTTACTGCAACCTCCGCCTTCCACGTTCAAGCAATTCTCCTGCCTCAGCCTCCCGAGTAGCTGGGATTACAGGGGCCCACCAGCACACCCAGCTAATTTTTGTATTTTTAGTTGAGACGGGGTTTCACCATGCTGGCCAGGCTGGTCTTGAACTCCTCACCTCAGGTGGTCCGCCCATCTTGGCCTCCCAAAGTGCTGGGATTATAGGCATGAGCCATCGCCCCGGCCACATTAACCCTGTATTTCGATCTTTTGGTTTGTCAATTTTATACATTATATATTGACTTCCTCCTATCCAGTCCTCACTTTCTGCTCAACTACAGTATTCAGTCTTTCCATCGTTATGACTATGTTAATTTTTTCCCACTAAGCCAAGGAGGGATTATTTTTCCTGTTATACAACTTTTTCTTCTTCCTGGAGGTAATATTATTATAGTGACTTCAACTCTTCATCTGTTTTTCTAGGATTATATGATGAAGTCTTCCTATACCTTTCAACAGCTTCTTACAAAGCTTATGAATACATTTGCCTGCACAGTTAAAGTCCTGGACATTTTCTTACTTCCCTTCCCCTCACCTCCACCTTCAGGGAAGGGAAAGATCTGAAGGCATTATCTGTTTATTCTGCAGAACCTCACCCCCACACTTCCCTGTGCTTCATGACTGTAGTTTCTCTGGGGAAATGTTGCTAGGGAGAAAACCCTTGTATCTTGTGGTGGGGTGGAAGATGGAGAGTTCCTGACAGTGTAGCATGGGGGTGGGCCTAGGGTCTGAGATAGACTTTCCTTATGTAGACTTTCAGACAGGCCTTTTCTTTTCAGTGCCTTGGCCTCATTCCTAACAGGTACCTTGAATTCTGAGTTTTCCTGGATTTGCTTCTCAAACCATAGCTTGCCCCTACTTCCTGCATCCCACCATTTCAGCACTGGTTTTGACTTTCCTCCATCAGTTAAGCAATCCACAGTTCTCTGATTTACTTTTAGCATTTTGATTCAGGATTATAGGTGATTTTAGTTTCATCAAAAACATAGAGTCCTCTTTCTGTTTCCTATTTTCCTTGTTTTCAGATGACTTTTCAGAAGGGATTGGAAATGTCTTTGCTCTTCTAACTTGGAAATGGATGCCTTTTATAGACTTTTAAAGAAGGCTTTGTTTTTGTTTTCTGGCTAGCAGTACATGGTGTGACAATCCACGTGGTCTTTGGCCCATAGGGATTTGCAGAATTCCTTTATATTCAGGAGATGCTTTGGTTAGGGATCTTTGGTAGCAAATAAAGGAAACCAACACTGATTAACTTAAGCTCACAAAATCCAAGGACAAGCTGAGTGTTCAGGTCTCAGAAGGGGCAGAGGCCAGGAGAACTACAACTACAAGGATCTCAGTAGGAGGAACTAACCAGCTGTTTCTTCACTGGGCTGTTTTAGAAGGATTGCACCCAACAATTCCTGTTCTTTTGTCACTTCACTGAAGAGTCAAATTGCAAGAAGAGAAAATCTGATTGTCCAAACTAGGATCACATGTCCATTGCTTAAGCATTCTTAGCCAAAATACAGGGGAAGTGATATTGGCAGTCAAAACAAAACAAACAAATAAATAGATGTCCACGCAGGTGATAATTTTATAGGGTTGGAGAGGTTAATGGAAGCTAAGTTTGCTTTTTTGAGATCTTTCAGGCAAAATTCTCCTTGGGACATGCCAGTGCTATTGGCAAGTCACCTTTTATTATAATGTGCCTGGCTGGTACAGGCTGCACACACTTGGAGAAGCATGGTGCACTTGCCACCATAAACTCATCTGAATTCTCTTAAGTAGGACTCTCTTGAAATGGTTTCCATAGGATATTTTGGGCTAGGGTTCTTTGGAGCAGAATTACGAAATCTTTCTAGGAAGAAAGTGCTTTTATTTTTTAAAACTCAAGTTTGAACAGCATCTTTCTAGGAAGAGTCCCTGAGATAACCGTGCTGTTTTCAGTGGGGAAAAAGTTTAGTTCTTCACTCCAGATTCCTGTGAGGACTCAGGGTCCTGTCTCTCACACTGCAGGGTAGTCACCATAGTAATTTATGAACCATAGCTTCAGGATCAGCTTGACTTAGCATTTGAGAAAGGGAAGAACAATCAAGTATGTTTTCTTTTCTTTTCTATTTTTTTTTTTTTTTGAGACAGAGATTCACTCTGTTGCCCACGCTGCAGTGCAGTGGCACAGTCTTGGCTCACAGTAACCTCTGCCTCTGGGGTTCAAGCAATTCTCGTGCCTCAGCCTCCTGAGTAGCTGGGACTACAGGCACATAGCACCATGCCCAGCTAATGTTTGTATTTTTAGTAAAGAAAGGGTTTCTTCATGCTGTCCAGGCTGGTCTTGAACTCCCGAGCTCTAACAATGCATTCACCTCAGCCTCCCAAAGTGCTAGGATTACAGGCGTGAGCCACCGCACCCGGCCTCAAGTGTGTTTTCTAAGTCCTTCTCTTTGCAGATCAAATGGTAATCTTTGCAGCCAAGCACCCATCTAAAATAACATCAATATTTCAGTCTCAAGAGGCAAGCCAGTCTTAAAAGTTTGTGAACTGTCAGCACAATTAAACCAAGACTCTGGCATGGCACAAAGACATTTCCCAGAAACTTTAGGCCCCAAAGAAGACTTATGTCAAACATCAGATAGAATAGTTTCAGATTTCTCAAGAAAAGGAAAATTACAGTAATATTTATAAGAGGAATCAGTACAAATCCAATGTTTTCCTAAAGTCATCAGTTCTCAGACTTCAGCATGAGAGGGCTTTTGAATAAATAATGTGGAGTTAGTGTGAATATTTGGTGTTTGGAAAATTTATTAGCCAAATTAACCTCAGAAACATTGCCCTCTTCTGGAAGGCCTTTTACATAGCTTTTCTGCAGAGGTATAATAATGCAATATGAATTTAATGAGGAACATATCTGTACCAGATCTTTTTCTAAACCCTGCCAATCAAATGTACATGTTTAGTCCTTTCTAACAATACAAATGGAAATGTCACCTTTGAAATGCTGCCAAAGTTAGGGCCTGAGAATTACAATACATGCAGACTATTTTAGCTGTTTTCAAAATACTTGGCATTTAGCAAATTATGTGAAACAGTATTTATCTTCGTTAGCTTAAGCAATCTACAGTATCATCCTCATTTTGCAGAAGAGGAAGCTGAACAAGCTAGAGAATATGAGAGACAAGTATTGAAACTAAAGAAAGATTAAATGAGGCAGGCACTAAAATGACTTCAGTTTGTGGATCTGAAAGTGGGCCCCTAAGCCCTGCTTCTAAGAAGCCAGAAATTGCTTAGGATAACGTGGCCTGAAAGTGGTAAACCAAATTCAGCAAAGAAGAAAAGTGGCTTGGTGGCTGGCGAGATAATACAGTTGGCAAATTGTAAGTCTTACTGAATTACAACCAAGATAGGAAGTGATGATTTTTCTTGTTAGATTTTTAAAAGACAATGACACTGAAAGGGGGTTCAGTCAGTCTTGTCAGCTGAGTGTCCTAGAAGGAGGGGGATAATCATCTTGGGCTACAACCAGCTGAAACAAGGTACCTTGCCCTGCTGAGGTATGAGAGGTCTAAGCAAGGAATGTGTCCCATTCTGATGATAGCGTCAACAATTCCACGATGATGGATAAAGTCTGACAACTTCTGGATTAAAACAAATTCTTGAATTCTCACCCCAATACACTATCATGCTTTTTTGTTTAATATGCTGCAAATTCAGTTCAGTGAACATTTTCTGAGCACCTCCAATTTTTAAAAAATGAACCCTAGTGTTACTATCAATGCTTCTAGAATATTTATAATAATAAATTTCTTGTGAAACATAGCAGGCAGGTCATTAATCCCTTTTAAAGTACAATTTAATGCAAGGCTTCATGACAGGAAGTGAGCATGATAATAAAAACCTTTACTGCTTAAAACCACACTTAATATTTTTACGACCCAGTCGGCCTGACAAAATATTCTTTGTGAGTCATCACTTCAAAGTGAGGGCCTGGGGACTACTGAAGACATAACAGCAGGCCTCATGCCCATTGTAGACAGCCCCTCGAACTTGAACTGCTCAGGCAAGAACTTTCAAGTAAGAAGAAACACACCAGAAGGTCACTACAGAGTGTCCTTGTGTATCCCATGGTCTAGGAAGCCATGTGACCAGGTGCATTTATTTTCAATCTCTCAATCATATTTTTGACAGCTTAGCTTTTGTATGGTTTTACCTTTACTCATAACTGACCACATTCTACTGACTAAAGAGATCATGAAGCCTTACGTGGTCCTATATAGTTTGTGTAGAGCTTAAATAATTATGTCAAGTTCATTACAATAAACGTTTAACCTGGAGCCATTTGACAACTGTGGGTTGAGGGGAGAAACAGTTTGCAATGAAACACTCATTAGTTGCCTTAGTTTTTGGGAAATGGTCAAGACAGCCTTAGCATGTCTTTTAAACCAAAATAAGAGCAAATAAAGGAATATAGGAACCTCTTTGACTTGTGTATAGGACTTTCTAACATTATTACTACTACAATAATACATATTTTTGATGATCTCTTTTCTTATAAAGTTCCAGGGGTTAGAAATCCCACCGCTGGCATTGATACCCTTAAAAATGTTTCAAATTCTTCACAGTCAGAAATATTTTCTATCTGTCTCTTATCTAAATCATACAATTTGTTACTTGAAAGCCGTTTCCTCTTCTATTTATTTTATTTTATTTTGAGGCAGTTTCTTACTCTGTCACCCAGGCTGGAGTGCAGTGGTGTGATCTCGGCTCACTGCAACCTCCACCTCTCAGGTTCAAGTGATTTTCCTGCCTCAGCCTCCTGAGTAGCTGGGACTACAGGCATGCACCACCACGCCTGGCTAATTTTTGTATTTTTAGTAGAGATGGGGTTTCTTTATGTTGGCCAGACTGGTCTGGGACTTATGACCTCAGGTGATCTGCCCGTCTCGGCTTCCCAAAGTGCTGGGATTACAGGTGTGAGCCACTGTGCCTGGCTTCCTCTTCTCTTTGGATTCAAAGACAATGGATTCACTCATCATCTAAAAATTATTGATTGAAACATGTTTCATGTACCAGACACTACTCTAGACACAGATGATTGAGCAGTGAACAAATAGGATCCCTAGACTGGTGGTGTTTACATTCTGGCAAATGTTGTCTTACATGGTGGAAACCTTTTTACATGTGAACACGACCAGCCAAGCTCTTCTGTTGCCCATCTGGAACCTTCCATGTTTCTCAAAGGAAGCCACTTATTAAAGCTAAGTGGTTCTTATCTGGCTTTCGTCTCCTCTCTCCACAAATTTTCAATCTCTTTTCCCCACTATCTGCTGTTCCCAATACACTGCCTCTTGTTTTTCATTCTTCAACTATCCTAAAAAAAAAAAAAATTAGAAAGTAAACACACACACACACACACACACACACACACACACACACAAATCCCACATAAACAGATGCTTGCAATTATTCTCTTCAGGAATAAGAGCAATTTTGAAATCAGGAGCTAGACCTATTTCCATTCCTACCTGGGTTCATTTATTCATTCATTTAGCAAGCATTTAAAATTATGTATTTGTAGAAATGTCTAAACTGTAGAAAAGTTTAAGGAGAAAATAACGCACCCTCATATTCCCACCATCCAGAATTAACCACAGTTAACATCTTGGCATAATTGCTTCCAGTCTTGTGAGCACTTCATGTGGAGTTGTAAGAATAACCGTAGGTGAAGCATGGTGGCTCACGCCTGTAATTCCAGCACTTCGGGAGGCCGAGGCGGGTGGATTGCTTGAGACCAGCCTGGGCAACATGGTGAAACCCCGTCTCCACAAAAAAAAAAATACAAAAATTAATTGGGCATAGTGGTGCGTGCTTGTAGGCCCAGTTACTTGGGAGGCTGAGATGAGAGGATCGCGTGAGCCGGGGGAGTGGAGACTGCTGTGAGCTGTGATCACACCACTGCACTCCAGCCTGGGTGACAGACTGACACCCTGCCTCAAAAAACAAAAACAAAAAACCCCAACAACCCTAAACCTAATAATAAATGCTACCCCTGTTCATCAGCACTTAACTCCATAACAGTACCCATTAGGTGCTTCATTATACTCAATTACTAGGAAGAAGAGGGAATGGTTTTCATGGAATTTCCTCAAAACCTTGTTTCTTGAGATGCAGCTGAATCACATGTGGCAGCCCTTGTTGCAGAAGCTTCGCATCCCAACTCCCACTTCAGGGTCCTCGCCACACCACCACAAAGCTTGTCTGTGTACACACGAGCATAACCCGGCAATGGCTCTTCTGTTATCTACAAAATATTTGGGTGTGGGTTTGGCGGTTGGACGCTACTGAACTCAGGCTCTTGTGAACTCAGACTTAACCGCAAATGATTAAAAACACACACATACTCTTCTCTCTCTCTGTAACATACACACACATACACACCCCATTGGCTAAAATAATTAAAAAATGTTTAAGATAAATCATTTTTGACAGTGATTGCTCCTGGGGGAGGGGTAGCAAGTTACACTGGGAACTGCCCCAATTTCTTCCCAACTCATGTATCCACGGGCTGGGAGGAATTTCCCAGCAAGCCTCTCCCACCCATTTGATCCTCTGGCAGTCTTGTTTCAGGGATTAAGTCTGTCTGAGTTCAGTTCTGATAAGTGACACAGAGGGAGAGGGTTTCAGTGCTTCTCATGCCTTTTGCAGGGAAAGGGATTTTTTATTTTTTCTGTCCCTGATGAGGTTGTGGTGGGGTGTTAAGGAGGGCAGATTAGCTCCAGGTGCAGCCTGTTTCATTCCTTGCCTTGCCTTCTCCCCTCAGCCCTGAACCAAGTATAGGATCAGACATGTTTGGCTTGCCTTTCCCCCTGCCCAAGAGGGAAACCATGCTCGCAGAGCTGATGGGGCTGACGGCAGCGACAGCCCTGATCCGGAGCCCTGATCCGAATCCCTTGTTTGACTACAGTCCAAGTGTTTCAAACAGCAGGTCTTTCATAGCTGGGAAAACCCCAAGCTAGACCTGCTGGACACACCGCACAACCACATACAGCTCAGCTCATGTCAACAGAACTGATAACCAAATTGGGCTTCTTGGCTTCCTGTCCCGGGCAGCCTTGCCAGCCCGCTACCCTCCAAGTCCCAATTAACAGGCGGCTACGCTATAACCATAAGGGGGGAGTGGAGGGTTTGTTTACCACATAGTTAACAGGCAAACACAACTTAATCACAAGGAAAACAGCTTTTATGAGAATCATCTTGAAGTCCTTCTACAGCCCTAATAAACCATCCAGGAAGCCAAAACCCAGAGTTCTCTTCGATTTCGTCCCTTAGGAGAAAGGCCAGTGGGGACAGGTGGAGAGACATATGGTCTTGCTTTTTGACCACTTACAGCTGCCAGATGAAGTGAACGTCTCTTCCCAGTCTGAAGGCTTCTCCAGGTGATCGCTCTATGTGATCCTTCTGTGATGGGCTGCAGGTGACCTTGAACCGCAAGGTGGGGAGGGAATGTGTCTTTTCAGCAGAACCCACTGAGCACCAGGCACTTTGCACATAGGCTCTCAATCCTTATTCCATAATTGTACGGAAGACCTTTGTCTTCTTTCTACAGAGGGGAAAACCAAAGCTTGGCCAGATCGAGTAACTTTAGAAAATTACACAGTTTAAGGGCAAAACTGGGATTTGAACCCAGGTCAGATGGACTCCAAAGTCCATTTCTTTCTACTCCACATCTACCATCAAAGGATCTGGATTCCAGCTTTGGGTCTAACAGTGATTGGTCATGGGATACTAGGCAAATCTTTTAACAGCTTAGCACTAATTTCATTATCAGTAAAATGTGGTTGTGGGAGAATGAGATTTGTTAATGTAGACTTGTAAAGCCTTATGTCAAGCCCAGTGGTATTACTTGCGCTAAAGAAAGAAGCACTCCAGGGCTGGACAGTGGCCTCTCAGAGTCCCAATTTATTACTGCAAGCCTTGTTGGTTGAAAATTAAGAGACTTGATATTTTATTTGAAATTCTGATTTTTTTTCTTTTTTTAAAAAAATGTTAAGTTCAGGGGTACATGTGCAGGATGCGCAGGTTTTGTACGTAGGTAAATGTGTGCCACGGCGCTTTGCTACACCTATCAACTCATCACAGGTATTAAGCCCAGCATGCATTAGCTATTTTCCCTGATGCTCTCCCTCCCCCGGCCCCTTCCTGCCATGCCCCAGTGTGTGTTATTCCCCTCCTGTGTCCATGTGTTCTCATCGTTCAGCTCCCACTTATAAGTGAGAACATGTAGTGTTTGGTTTTCTGTTCCTGAGTTAGTTTGCTGAGGATAATGGCTTCCAGCTCCATCCATGTCCCCGCAAAAGACATGATCTCATTCCTTTTTATTGCTGCATAGTATTCCATGGTGTATATGGACCACATTTTCTTTATCCAGTCTATCATTGATGGGCATTTGGGTTGATTCCATGTCTTTGCTATTGTGAATAGTGTCATAATGAACATAGGCATGCATGTATCTTTATAATAGTATGATTTATATTCCTTTGGGTACATATCCAGTAATAGAATTGCTGGGTCAGATGGCATTTCTGGTTCTAGATCTTTGAGGAATCGCCACACTGTCTTCCACAACAGTTGAACTAATTTACATTCCCAATAACAGTGTGAAAGTGTTCCTATCTCTCCGCAGCCTCACCAGCAACTGTCGTTTCTTGATTTTTTAATACTTGCCATTCTGACTGGTGTGAGGTGGTATCTCATTGTGGTTTTGATTTGCATTTCTCTGATGATCAGTGATATTGAGCTTTTTTAAATATGTTTTTTGGCTGCATGTATGTCTTCTTTTGAGAAGTGTCTGTTCATGTCCTTTGCCCACTTTTTAATGTTTTTTTCTTTCCTGTACATTTGTTTAAGTGTTTTGTAGACTGGATATCAGACTTTTGTCAGATGGATAGATTGCAAAATTTTTCTCCCATTCTGTAGGTTGTTTGTTTGCTCTGATGATAGTTTCCTTTGCTGCGCAGAAGCTCTTTAGTTTAATTAGATCCCATTTGTCAATTTTTGCTTTTGTTGCAATTGCTTTTGGTGTTTTTGCTATGAAATTTTTGCCTGTGCCTATGTCCTGACAGTATTGCCTAGATTTTCTTCCAGGGTTTTTATAGCTTTGGGTTTTACATTTAAGTCTTGAATTCATCTTGAGTTAATTTTTGTATTAGGTGTAAGGAAGGGGTCCAGTTTCAATTTTCTGCATATGGCTAGCCAATTCTCCTAGCACCATTTATTAAATAGGGAATCCTTTCCCCATTGCTTGTTTTTGTCAGGTTTGTCAAAGATCAGATGGTTGTAGGTGTGCAGTCTTATTTCTGAGTTCTCTATTCTGTTCCACATCTGGTCTATGTGTCTGTTTTGTACAAGTACCATGCTGTTTTGGTTACTGGCACCTTGTAGTATAGTTTGAAGTCAGGCAGTGTGATGCCTCCAGCTTTTTTCTTTTTCCTTAGGATTGTCTTGGCTATTAGGGCTCTTTTTTGGTTCCATATGAATTTTTAAATCGTTTCTTTTAATTCTGTGAAGTATGTCAGTGGTAGTTTAATGGGAATAGCACTGACTCTATAAATTACTTTGTGCAGTATGGCCATTTTCCCAATATTCATTCTTCCTATCCTTGAGCATGGAATGTTTTTCCATTTGTTTGTGTCTTCTCTGATTTCCTTGAGCAGTGGTTTGCAGTTCTCCTTGAAGAGGTCCTTCACTTCCCTTGTTAGCTGTATTTCTATGTATTTTATTCTCTTTGTAGCAATTGTGAATGGGAGTTCATTCATGATTTGGCTCTCTGCTTGTCTATTGTTGGTGTATAGGAATGCTTGTGATATTTGCACATTGATTTTGTATCCTGAGACTTTGCTGAAGTTGCTTATCAGCTTAAGAAGCTTCTGGGCTGAGATGATGGGTTTTCTGGATGTAGGATCATGTCATCTGCAAACAAAGATAATTTGACCTCCTCTCTTCCTATTTGAATATCCTTTATTTCTTTCTCTTGCTGATTGCCCTGGCCAGCACTTCCAATACTATGTTGAAGAGGAGTGGTGAGAGAGGGCGTCCTTGTCTTGTACCGCTTTTCAAGGGGAATGCTTCCACCTTTGCCCATTCAGTATGATGTTGGCTGTGAGTTTGTCATAAATGGCTCTTAATATTTTGAGGTATGTTACTTCAACACCTAGTTTATTGAGAGTTTTTAAATGAAGCAATATTGAATTTTATCGAAGGCCTCTTCTGTGTCGATTGAGATAATCATGTGGTTTTGTCTTTAGTTCTGTTTATGTGATGAATCACATTTATTGATTTGTGTATGTTGAACAAACCTTGCATCCTGGGATGAAGCCAGCTTGATAGTGGTAGATAAACTTTTTGATGTGCTGCTGGATTCGGTTTGCCAGTATTTTATTGAGGATTTTTGCATTGAGATCAGGGAGAGTGGCCTGAAGTTTTCTTTTTTGTTGTATCTTTGCCAGGTTTTGGTATCAGGATGATGTTGGCCCCATAAAATGAATTAAGGAAGAGTGCCTCCTTTTTAA